>NC_000003.12:166129816-166281331 GCF_000001405.40 Homo sapiens
GGATACAAGAGATGTTTTGATTCAGATATGCAATGTGAAATAAGGTGCATCATAAAGAATGGGGTATCCATCCACTCAAGCATTTATCCATTGAGTTGCAAACAATCCAATTACATTATTTAACTTTTTAAAAAATGTACAGTTATTATTGACTATGGTCACCCTGATGTGTTATCAAATGGTAGGAATTATTCATTCTTTCTAACTTTTTTTTGTGCCAATTAACCAATTTTAACTCCCTGCCCTCCAGGCCCCCACTACTTCACCCAGCCTCTAGTAACCATCCCTCCACTCTCTATGTCTATGACTTCAATTGCTTTGATTTTTAGATCTCACAAATAAGTGAGAACATAGGATGCTTGTCTTTCTTGGTCTGGCTTATTTCACTTAACATAAAAATGATCTGCAGTTCCATCCATGTTGTTGTTGCAAATGACTGGATCTCATTCTTTTTTATAACTGAATTTACTCCATTGTGCATATGTACCACATTTTCTCTATCCATTCATCTGCTGATGGACACTTAGGTTGCTTCCAAATTTTAGCTATTGTAAACGTGCTGCAACAAACATAGGAGTACAAATATATCTTCAGTGTACTGATGTCCTTTCTTTCGGGTGTATACCCCATAGTGGTATTGCTGCGTTATTTGGTAGCTCAATTTTTAGTGTTTTGAGGAAACTCCAAGTGGTTCTCCATAGTGGTTTTACTATTTTACATTACCGTCAACAGTGTACAACGAGGTTCACTTTTCTCCACATGCTCCCCAGCATTTGTTATTTCCTATCTTTTGTATAGAAAACATTTTAACTGTGCTTAGAATATAGTTCATTGTAGTTTTGATTTGCATTTCTCTGATGATCAGTGATGTTGAGCACCTTTTCTTATGTCTGTTTGCCATTTGTATGTCTTCTTTTGAGAACTGTCTATTCATATATCTTGCACATTCTTTGACTGGATTGTTAGACGTTTTCTTATAGAGATATTTGAGCTCCTTTTATATTCTTGTTATTAATCCTTTGTCAGAGGGATAGTTTGCAAATATTTTCTCCCATTCTGTGGGTTGTCTCTTTACTTTTTCGATTGTATCCTTTGCTGGGCAGAAGCTTTTTAACTTGATGTAATCATTTGTCTATTTTTGCTTTGATTGCCTGTGCTTGTGGAGAAATTTTTCAAGAAATTTTTGAACAGACCAACCAATGTCCTGGAGATTTTCACCAATGTTTTCTTGTAGTAGTTTCATGGTTCGAGGTATTGGATTTAAGTCTTTAATTCATCTTGATTTGATTTTTGTGTATGACTAGAGATAGGAGTCTAGTTTCATTTTTCTGCATATGGATATTTAGTTTTCCCAGGATCATTTATTGAAAAGATCATCTTTTCTCCACTGTATATTCTTGGCACATTTTGTGAAAATGAGTTCACTGTAGGTCTATGGATTCATTCGTCGGTTCCTTTTTTTCTGCTTCACTGGATTATGTGTCTATTTTTATGCCAGTACCATACTGTTTGGATATTATAATTCTGTAGTATAATTTAAAGTCAGGTAAGGTGATTCCTCCAGTTTTGTTCTTTTTGTTTGGGAAAGCTTTGGCCATTCTGGGTCTTTTGTGCTTCCATATATATTTTATAATTTTTTTCTATTTCTTTGAAGAATGTCATTAGTATATTGATAGGGATTGCATTGAATCTGTAGATTGCTTTGGGCAATATGGACATTTTAACAATATTGATTTTTCCACTCCATGGACATGGGATATATTTTCATTTTTTGGTCTTCTCTTCAAGTTCTTTCATCAGTGTTTTAGAGTTTTCATTATAGAGATCTTTTACTCCTTTAAATAATTTAATTTATTTTGTGTAGCTATTGTAAATGATATTACTTTTGTTTCTTTTTCACATTGTTCACTGTTAGAATAGAAAAATGCTATTGGTTTTTGTATGTTGATTTTGTATCCTGCAACTTTACTGAATTTTTTTTTTATCAGTTATAATAGTTTTCTTGTGGAGTCTTTAGGTTTTTCCAAATATAAGATCATATCATCTCCAAACAAGGATAATTTGACTTCTTTTCCAATTTGGATGTCATTTATATCTTTCTCTTTTCTGATTGTTCCATGTGGTTCTTGCAGTACTATGTTCAATAACAGTGGTGAAAGTGCGCATTGTTATTGTGTTCCAGATCTTGGAGAAAAGGACTTATTTTCCCTATCCAATATAATACTAGCTGTGGTTCTGTTGCATACAGCTTTTCTTATTTTGAGGTATGGTCCTTCTCTCTCCAGTTTATTGAAGGATTTTATAATGACAGGGTAGTGAATTTTATTAAATGTTTTTTCAGCATCAATTGAAAAATCATATGGATTTTATCTTTCATTATGTTGTAATGATGCATCAAATTAATTGATTTGTGTATGTTGAACCATGCTTATATCCCAGGGATAGGTCCTACTTGGTCATGATGAATGATCCTTCTAATGTATTGTTGAATTCGGTTTGCTAGCATTTTGTCGATGACCATCAATATTCATCAGAGATATTGGCCTGTAGTTTTTTGTTACGTGCATTTGTCTGGTTTTGGTATTACGGTAATACTGGCCACATAGAATGATTTTGGAAGTATTCCCTCCTTCTCTATCTTTCCGAATAGTTTAAGTAGGATTGGTATTAGTTCTTCTTTAAATGTTTGGGGGAATTCAGCAGTGGGCCATCATGTCCTGGGCTTTACATTACTGGGAGACTTTTTATCATGGCTTTGATCTCGTTTCTTCTTACTTGTTAGTGGTCTGTTCAGGTTTTGGATTTCTTCCTGGATCAATCTTTAGAGGTTGTATCCATCTAGGAATTTGTTCATTTCTTCTAGATTTTCCAATTTATTGGTATGTAGTTGCTCATAGTAGCCACTAATGATTCTTTGAATTTCTGTAGTATCAGTTGTACTGTCTCCTTTTTCATTTCTGATTGTATTTATGTATATGTCTCTTTTTACCTAGTCTGGCTAAAGGTTTGTCAATTTTCTTATATTTTCAAAAAATAAATTTTTGTTTCATTGATCTTTTATATTGCTTTTTTCCTTTCAACTTTACTTATTTCTGCTCTTTTATAATTTCTTGTACTAATTTTGGGTCTGCTTTGCTCTTGCTTTCCTATTTCTTTAAGATGCATCATAAGGTTGTTTATTTGAAGTTTTTTCTCTTTTTTGATGTAGACACAGCTATAAACTTCCCTCTTAGTACTGCTTTTGCTGTATCCCATAAGTTTTGATATGTTGTGTTTCCATTATCATTTGTTTCAAAATATTTTTCAGTTTCATTTTTAATTTCTTCATTGATACACTGGTCATTCAGGATGATATTGTTTAATGTCTATTCTGCAGCTCTTGAATGAATAAAAAATGTGTATTCTGCAGCTCTTTGATGAAAAGTTCTGTAAATACCTATTAGATCCATTTTGATCTATAGTGTAGGTTAAGTCTGATTTTTTTGTTGTTGTTTTTCTGCCTGAAAGATCTGCTCAGTGCTGAAAGTGGGCTATTAAAGTCTCCAGCTAATACTCTATTGGGACCTATTTTTCTCTTTAGCCCTAATAATATTTTCTTTATATGTCTGGATTCTCCCATGTTGTGTGCATATATATTTAACACTGTTATATCCTCTTGCTGAATTGACCCCTTTATCATTAAATAGTGACTGTCTTTTCTTACAGTTTTTGTCTTAAAATATAATTTGTCTGTTATATGTACAGCGAATTCTGGTCTGTTTTAGTTTCCATTAGCATGGGATATCTTTTCCCATCCCATTATTTTTAGTCTATGTATGTTTTCATAGTTCAAATACATTTCTTGCAGGCAATAGATCAATGGGTCTTATTTCCAATCCATTCAGCCGGTTTATGTCTTTTGATAGGAGAGTTTAGTTAATTTACCTTTAATGTAATTATCAATAAGTAAGGACTTAAGTCTTGCTATTTTGCTATTTGTTTTCTGGTTGCTTTTTGGTTTTCTATTCTTTCTTTCCTTCTTGTCTTCCATTAGTGAAGGTAATTTTCTCTGGTGCTATAATTTAGTTCCTTGCTTTTTAATTTTTTTTGTATCCACTCTATGTTTTTCAGGTTGAGATTACCATGAGGCTTTCAAATAACCCTTGTAACCCATTATTTTAACTTGATAACAAAATAACATTATTTGCCCACACAAACTCAAGAAAACAAGCGGAAGAAATGTAATAGATACTCACCTTAACCTTGTGTTCCAAGTTTTTAAGTTTTTGTTGTTTCTCTTTATTTCTTATTGTATGGACTATGTCTTGTAAAGTTGTTGTAGTTATTATTTTTGACTGGTTCATCGTTTAGTATTTATAATTAGGATAAGACTACACACCACAGTTACAGTGGTAAAATAGTCCATGTTTTTCTATGTACCTACTATTATCAGTAAGTTTTGTGCGTTCTGATGATTATTTATTGCTCATTAATGTCCTTTTCTTTCTGAGTGAATTATTGCCTTCAGCATTTCTTGTAGGAAAATTCTGGTATTGATGAAATCTCTCAGCTTTTGTTTGTCTGCACAAGTCTTTATTTCTCCTTCATATTTGAAGAACACTTCGACCAGATACACTACTCCAGGGTAACAATTATTTTTCCTTCAGCACTTTAAATATGCCACTCTCTCCTGGCCTGTGAAATTTCCACTGAAAAGTCTGCTGCCAGACGTATTGGAGCTCCATTGTGTTTTATTTGTTTCTTTTCTCTTGCTGTTTTTAGAATTATTTCTTTATCCTTGAGCTTTGAGAGTTTAATCATTAAATGCCTTGAGGTTTTTTCTTTGAGTTGAATCTGCTTGGTGTTCTATAACCTTCTTGTACTTGGATATTGCTGTCTTTCTCTAGATTAGGAAAGTTCTCTATTATTATCTCTTTGAATAAACATTCTACCCCATCTCTTTCTCTACCTCCTCTTTAAAGCCAACAATGCCTAGAATTTCCCTTTTGAAATTATTTTCTAGCTCTTGTAGACATGCTTTATTGTCTTATTCTTTTTTTGTCTCCTCTGACTGTGTATTTACAAATAGCCTGTCTTCAAGCTCACTAATTCTTTTTATTTTATTTTATTTTATTTTATTTTATTTTATTTTATTTTATTTTATTTTATTTTATTTTATTTGCTTAAAGGACTCTGATGCATTCATCCATAAGCAAATAGCATTTTAAGGTACAGAATTTTGGTTAATTCTTTCTAATTATTTTAATCTCTCTGTTAAATTTATCTGATAGAATTTTAAATTGCTTCTCTGTATTATCTTGAATGTTTTTGAGTTTCCTCAACATTTTGAATTTTCTCTGTGAAAGGTTACATATATCTATTTCTATAGGATTGGTCCCTAGAGCCCAGTTCACTTGGTGAGGTCATGTTTTCTTGGATACTGTTGATGCGAGTAGATGTTCTTTGGTGTCTGGACATTGAAGAGTTTGGTATTTATTGTTGTTTTGACTGCCTGAGCTTATTTATAGCTGTCCTTCTTGGGAAGGCTTTCCAGCTATTTGAAATTACTTGGATGTTGTAATCTAAGCTGTTTCTGCTTTAACGGGTACTCCAAGCCAAGTAGTACTTTGGTTCTTGCAGAGTCATAGAGGTAAAGCCTTGATGGTCTCAGACAAGATCTGGTAGAATTCTCTGGATTACCAGGTGGAAGCTCTTGTTTTCTTCACATACTCTCTTCTAGACAGATAAAATATCTCTCCTCTGTTCTGACCCACCTGGAGCTGGAAGTGGGTGACACAAGCACTACTGTGGTCAATACTACTGGGACTCTGGTAGGTCAGCCCTGAAGCTGGCAGAACACTAGGTCTCACCGAAGGCCCACTGTAACTGCTACCTTGCTACCATCTATATTCCCTCAAGGCCCTACGGCTATATAATCAACAAGTGGTGAAACCAGCTAGGCTTTTGTCCTTCCCTTCAGAGCAGTGGGTTCTCCCAGACCCCAGGCTGGTTCAGAGGTGCTAGCTAGGATCCAGGGTCTGGAGTCAAAAGCCTTAGCATTCTACCTGTTGTTCTATTGTATTCCTGCTGAGCTGGCACTCAAACCACGAAACACAGTCCTCATTCCTCCTTCCCCTTTCCACAGGCAGATGATCCTCCTTCTGTGGTCACCACCACCACAAGCCCATAGGAAGCATCGCTGATGTTCCCTTAAGACCCAAGATTTCTTCAGTCAAATGGTGAGTGCTTCCTGGTCTGGGACTCACCTTTCAAGGCACTGGGCTCCTTGTGCCCAGGGTAGGTCCAGGAATGTCATCCAAGAGCCAAGGCCTGAAATCAGGGATCCCAAGAGCCCACTTGGTGCTCTATCCCCCTGTGATTTAGCACAGACACCTCAGGTGCAAGGTGAAGTTCCTGTTACTTTTCTGTTCACTTTCCTCAATCAGTGGGAGTCTTTCCCCATGCCCACTAGGGCTGGGAATGGGCTGAGTCTCACTCGAAGCCAGCAAGTCTCAAAAGTCTCACCCAAGGCCCTTTGCATACTATCTGTGTATCACTGCTGGTTTTCCAGATCCCAAGGTGATGGGAAAGCAGGTGTTGGGTCCTGCCAGGACTGGATCCTTTCCTTCAAGGCAGTGAGTTCTCTTCTGTACCACCATGTGTCTAGAAATGATGTCTAGGAGCTAGGTTCTTGAAAGGGGGCTTCACAACTTTGACAGGTGGCCTAACATGCTGTGGCTGAGCTAATATCCAAGGGATAGGACAAAGTCCTCTTCACTTTTCCCTCTCTACTTCTCAAGTGGGAATGGAGGAGTCTCTTTGGAAACTGAGAGCTGTGTAGCCTGGGTTTGGGGAAATGGTGGTGCAAGCACTTCCTTTAACTACCCTGTGGTGTCTCAGTTAAGTCATGTGCCCCCAAACCACTGGCTCTTAAAGGATATCAGCACTAGTTCTCAGCCAGGGGTTGTAGTCCTGATTTCCTACACTGCCTTGCAAATTTAAGGTGCCAGAGCACTTTAGCCCACAATTGTGAAGCTTTCCGGAACTCAGGTTCTGACTGCTGAGATGGGTCATTCCCCTCTGGCTAGGGCTAGTTTAAATACTCTCTCCATGGGTGAGCATCAGCTGACTTCAGCCTGGTTTTGCTTTCTACTGTGACAGGGCAGCAATGAGTACAATGCAATGTCTCACAATCCCTGTGCCTTCCCTCTCCCATGTGGCTGCTGCCAGGGGCCTGGGGACGGGTGGTGTTGGTGAGTTGAGATTGTCTTTCCTACCCTCTTCCAGTGTCTCTTTCAGAAATATGAAGTTAAAACCAGGTACTGTGAGTGCTTACCTGATTGTTGGTTCTGATGAGGTTATTTTTGTCTATGTGTAGATGGTTGTTAAATTGGTCTGCTTGCAGAGGAGATAATCAGTGGACCCTTCTATTTGGCCGTCTTTCTCCAAACCCCTGCATTAAGTTAATTATTAATACACATGTATATATCTGTATTTAGGCATAAATGTATAAAAATGCACAAATAGGCAATAAATGGGCTGGGCACAGTGGCTTACGTCTGTAATCCCAGCACTTTGGGAGGCCAAGTTGGGTGGATTGCCTGAGCTCAGGAGTTTGAGATCAGCCTGGGCAACATGGCAAAATCCTGTCTCTACTAAAAATACAAAAATATAGCCAAGTGTGGTGGCACATGCCTGTAGTCCCAGATACTTGGCAGGCCGAGGTGGGAGAATTGCTTGAGCCTGGGGGTGGAGGTTGCAGTGAGCTGAGGTCGGGCCATTGCCCTCCAGCCTGTGAGACAGAGCCAGACCCTGTCTTCAAAAAAATTTTTTAAAAATATGAAAATTTAAAAAGACAATAAATGTAAAGATTTTAACAAAAGTGTTAAAAGATAACATTAATTTTCATAATACATTATTAAATCTAGTCATTATATTAAATAAAACAATGTATCATTACATTATTTTGATAAACCATAAGAATGTTTTTAATAAAAAGAAAATCATAGCCATTATCTTCTACACATATTTATACTTCCCATAATTATTATACTTATTCTGGTTGTACATTATATTAATCATCAATTTTAAAATAGTGATTTAAACCCAATAATGGTTACTTAAATTAATTTTATCAAACATAATAGTTTCTTCTTATCCCTGGTTAACCATGATCTGAAAGTATTGCTATCTTGAGAAACAGAGAAAGAAAGAAAGCTAGACCACATTTACCATAACTTTTATTACAGTATACTGTTGTAATTATTCTATTTTATCTTATTGTTGTAAATTTCTTACCGACATCACTGATAAATTAAACTTTATCATGGGTATGTATAACAGAAAAACATAGTATATGTACAGTTTGGTACTATCAATAATTCAGTCATACACTGTCTTGGAATGTATACCCTTCAGTAATGGGGACCACTGTAATTAATTAATATTTTTTCAGACATGAGGAAAAAAATACCGATAATAACCTTCAAATAAAAATAAATAAACAGTGAAAACTGTCTAGCTATTTTTTCTTAATAAGAACTTATCTTAACAATTTTGAAATGAAAAATAGTAAATGTATACATATAATATTAGCAAAGGCATTTGCATATTTTCTCCTTTTTTTTTTTTTTTTTTTGAGGTAGTCTCGCTCTGTCATGCCCAGGCTCTGGAGTGCAGTGGCACAATCTCGTCTCATTGCATCCTCTGCTTCCTGGGTTCAAGTGATTCTCCTGCCTCAGCCTCTCAAGTAGCTGAGATTACAGGTGCCCACAACCATGCCTGGCTAATTTTTTTTTTTTTTTTTTTTAGTACAGACGGGATTTCACTATGTTGGTCAGGCTGGTCTCAAACTCCTGATCTCAGGTAATCCACCTGCCTCAGCCTCCCAAAGTGCTGGGATTACAGGCGTGAGCCACAGCGCCCAGCCATGTTTTCTTAACTTTAGCCATTCAAATACATAAGACGAATTATGATTGCTGACCATTGTTTTGCTTCTATTTCCACTTAAAAATTGTCCTGCCATCTAAAGATTATGTAACAGTGAATATAATCATTTTGTATAAAATGAACTCTATAAAGAAATATCAGACATTGCCATTCTGTTTAGTATGTGTATATATATGTATATATACAACTATTAATTATATATATATATATATAAACACCTATTAACACCTATTAATTTTCCTAATTCACAAACACAATGCTGGAAATTCAGGTAGCTTAACCATAAATCATGAGATATTTAATTCTAATCTTGTATAAACCAAATATTATGCTGACTTTTTAAATGATAAATTAAATTTTAGAGATTATATAAATCATCCCAAGAGAACTCTTACTCTGTATTGGAACCTTTTCTTTGTAGTAAGCATGAATGAAAGCTGTTGTGCAAGTACTTTTTAAAGTCACCAAAGGAAACAAATACTTTATTAACTCTTCTTTCTCTTAGATATTTTGAATATCTTTTCTAGATTAGATACTCCTAGAGTATGCACATTACAGTGCAATTATTTCTTTCTCATCAATCTTTAAAAACTTTAAAGTGAAAAAAAGGAAGCCAAGAAGTGAAACAAAAAAAAAAGTGAGATGGAGCCAGCTTCATACATACATGAAGCTATCACTATAGAAAGCTAATATTATTTTTTTGTTAGGAGAAGGCAGATAGTTTAAATGTAGTAAAAGACATTTTGGCATGAATAACAAAAAAGAATGTGTGGTTGAAATAACCTGGGTACTTGAAGAATGCAACAAACTATATGATTAGTAAATCAATACTCATTAATTTCTCAAATAGAAACAAGTGGAGCATCTCCTGTGCTAAACGAAATGTTTTTATTTCCTTTAGAGGAGTTCTCCCCTGTTTATTGTGAGAGCTTCTCAGTAAAATTTCTGTTCACCTTAAAATTTCATCAAGTGGCTAGTTCGATCTTACATTGTCCTGGTGAAGTTGTGCCAATTAGAAAAAAATTACAATTTATATAATTTAGCATTATTTCAAGAATATGTGGAAAAGGAGGTAATTGGTCTGGAAGAAACACATTAAGAAGGCAAATAAGAACTGCAATAGTTGGTAAGGATGATGTTTATGCAAACTTGTGCCCCTGGAACCTAACCAAAGACCAATAAAAGACCTGATGCTGAGCAGAAAAAAAAAAAACAAAACAAAAAAAAACAGAACTAAATTTTCAGAGACTTAAAGACAAAACTCAGAAAGAAGCATTTTATATGGTTTCAAATGGTGAACAGAAGACAAAATTTTCTGGTGTCTGTTCTAAGGAGAATCCATGAACTCCTCAATCCCAAGACTGCTTCAAGACAGTTGATCATCTTTATATCTGTTCTGTCACCTTTTCCATGTATAGATTAAAAAAATACAAAACAAACAAGAAATAAAAACACCCAAGACAAAAGACAAGTGATCAAACCATAGGAACAGATATTGGAATACTAGAGAAAAAGTCTTTAATAAACAGTAGAGATCTGATCAGATGAAAAAAAGTCACAGAAGACTTTATTTCTTTGTAAACAAACAAAACAAAATAAATCCAAAATACTGATGCTAAATTCATTATAAGTTGACCATACAACTATAAGAATGGTGGCGTCATTTGGGAAGAAACACTTAGATTATAGATGTTTATGCTGTTATTGGTCTTGAGCTATGGCAATGACGTATTGATGGAACTTTTACTTCTCTCAAAAACCACTAGGAACATACCTGTAGTCAGATAAAATTGAGTTTATTGTATTATTGGAAAGTGGGAGACTGCACATCATAGAGAACCATAGTGTTTCTCAGTAAGAGGACAAATATTTGAACTTGTGCTTTGGTGAGGCAATTTTCATGAGCATTTATAAAAATGGAGGTTTGCTACATGTTGTATACTGTCAAGAACTAGAGAGAATTCCAAATTTTGATCAAGAAGTCAGAAAAACTAAAGTTGTCATGATAAAGAAGCAGGAGCCATTTACATTAGCTAGTTTCATGATTTTTGTGGTTTGGACAATGTTCTTGTGTTTCTTTGCGCTCAGACAAGATTATGAGGTAGTCTTGCTCTTGGTTACTGTTGCTTCTCTGATATTAATTTTCTAATATTCTGTATTTTTAAAAATGCTGAACATGAGAATGCACTGATTATTTGTGATTTCCAAGTCGGCTTCTGAATGCCAAATGTCACTTTTTTTCTTTCTTGGGTAGTGAAATTTAAAATTAATAAAATTTCACTAAGCCACCATGTACCTTTCTGAATATTTTTATCAGTTATCTAATAGTAATATTCTACATAGAATTGTAAAAGAAGATTAACTGCCAGTGACTTTCTAGATTGAAAGGGGTCTGTAAAATTCTTTGACAGTTACTGGAAAATGTATAGAATCCTGAAGTAAATCAGAGACTTATGCTTTATTTATAAGAATTACAGATGAGTGGACTTTCTTTAATTAAGATTTTTTGGCAGCAAATGGGTTAAAAAAGAAATGCCAATCAGGAATAAATTCCAAAAAGTTCTGCAGGTAGCCTACCTTCAATGAATGTATATTCTACTTTGTTCCTAGTTCAGTTACCGGCTATGAGAGCAACAATTAGACCAATATAATGCAATTCTTCCTCTAAAAAAAAAAAACCCAAATCATAATGTATACAACTATCTATTCTGACTTTGCCTTATATCATTACGTTTTGGATGCATTTCATATTTATATATAAAATGTTATATACGTTCTTATTTTTTGAAAAGAAATCAGTTTACTTTTTATTTAATATTTATTTGTGAGAGCTTTTATAAAAATTCCAAGTGTGTAGTTTTTTATGTGTTTAAACTTTTATGCTTTCAAATCTCTTTTCTATGATCTATTAATTAGCAAACCGCTGCATGTCTTAAAGCTCAGTATTGCTCAGAATGGAACACACTTTTATTCTCCATTACCATGAAAATGTTTGTATTCGTGGTAGATTTCCCTGGAGAACTTTAGTTAGTCGACCTTTTAAAATTTCAGGCTAAAAAATAAATCCTTCAAAAATTAAATTGTCTTTAGTGGTAGAACTAGAAGAGGCCTTATTAATATTCACCTAATTCTTGTTTTTCTTTTCATAAATGGGTTTATTTCTCCAAAGACATGTGGCTAATAAATGCAAAGTAAGGACCAGAATTCAGGTTTCATGATTTCCAGAAGTCCCTTTGTGTTTTTCTCCTTAAAATTTCCAAGATTTCTGTGTATATGTGTTTGTGTGTATGTGTGGGTGTGTGCACATGTGCACATGTGTATTTGTATGCATGCATACATGCATATGTGTATCTTTTCAGAAACTAATCATCTCCAGGACAAGTCATTGTTATTTTCCATTCTGCAGTATTCTGCAGCATCTCTTTATCCCAATTTTTTCCATCAAGAAGTTGGAAGGAATACCTTAAAACATAAATTCCATGTTTGCATTTCTAGGTTCAAAAACCATCTATCATTTTCCACTGTTGGTTCCTAAGAAAAAACTCAGAATGTCTAATCATATCTTCAGGATCCTGCTATAGCTGTTTCTTTCCCCACTCTACAGCTTCCAGTGATACCATTCTTGCCTCCAGTCACAACTTCCCATGCCCCCTAGCCTTGTTTGCATCATCAAAGACACCATATACATATACGTAAGACATACGTGAAGAATTTGGCTCATGCTCTATGAGGGCTGGCAAGATTAAAATCTGTAGGGAAGCCAGCAGGCTGGAAACTCAGGCAATATTTGCATATTATTGTCTTTCTTAAGTCAGAATTCCTTCTCATCTTGGAAACGTCAGTTTTTACTCTTAAAGCACTTCAACTAATTGGGTGAGGCCCACCTACATTATTGACATAGTTTTACTTAAAGTCAAATGATTGGAAATGTTAATCATGTCTACAAAATATCCTCTTAGCACCATTCAGACTAGTGTTTGACCCAAAAACTGGGCACCATAGACTAGCCAAGTAACCCATAAAGTTAACTACCACAGGTGCCAATATTATCTTCCAAAAAGGTTCACTTAGGGTACCTGCAATCAACTATTACTATTAGGATTTAGCTACATATCTAGTTGGAGTCAATTGATCAAGGACCCTCTGGACTCAATGGCTGGATAAGCACATCAAGGATACAGTCCTGGTCTATCAGTCAGGGTAGAGTCAGAAAAACAGAAACGTGATTCTATTTTAAACAGATAATTTTATGTTAGAAATTGGTTATGTATATATTATAAATGGTAGAAGAGCAAAAGGAAGACAGAATGATACTGCAAGGAAAATTGAAAAAAGATTTATTCACAGAGATAAGTGCTTATAAATAGCAGTTACCAAAGGCTATAATCACTAGGGCTGGAGTAAACCAAAACGGAGAAGTATCAGAGCCCTGGAGTATATTCGCTACTGAACAAACTGCTGAGTTGTTCTTTGCATGTTGTTGGAATCACAAAGGAGGGTCTTACAAACATAGCCGCTTCCAGAAGTGCTACTGGGAAGTAAGAAAAAAAAAATATATATATATAGAGAGAGAGATAAAGATAAAGAAAAGAATATCTTACATCTATATGCCCATCATTGGATAGTCTCATCTTCCAAACACCATACTTTCTTCTGGACAAACCTAACTAAGGAGTTTTGGAAATGTTTGCAGACTTTCAACTCCAGTAATTCAGAGAAGGTCATATATGAGACTGATACATTAGCAGTATATAACTGGAGCACCGTATGTATCATTTTGGATTTAAAAAGCCTGAAGAGGTCTTTACATCCTTATGGGAATGACTGCAAAATATTTCCAGCCAACACTACAAATATTACCAGTAAGAGTTTAATTTGGACTTTCATTGTCCTGATGGTACAGATAGCTGAAATGTATTTGCTGCTTCTAGTGCATGGTCATTGAAACCCTTTGGAGTTGTATTTCTCATTAGGGCCACAACCTTCCTCAAAGGCTTAGATTAAAACTAACATCCATTTATATCTACTGCCTTAACAGATACGTTTGAAAATAAATGAAAACAAAAACAGTATTATAAAATTGTTTTCTTGCTCTTTTGGTATTTTTTTTCTAACTTTGCTGTTTTGCCATAGGGGTAAGAATATTATTATACAGCAAAACCAGTGGGATCTCTTTAATTCAGCGTCCAGTTATTTATAAGACTTCAAAATATTTGTCTACTATTTTACAAATATTTTACAAACCTCCTCATCCTGAGAGACTTTAGAGAGAGCTCTCATGTTTACTCTAAAATATTTCTTTAGGCTACAATGTGACATACATACACACATTTTCAGGTTCCTTAGTTAATATCTACACCAAAGCTTGCGATATCACTTTAGTGATGAAATATCATTATTAGATGACTTCCCACCTCTGGTAAAGTGTTCAGGTCCATGCTGCTGTATCTGCCAATGTTGATATTTATTATTAATATCCAGTAGAGCTTTTAAAAATAAAATTATTCATTTTTTAACATCCTGTCTTCCCCAAATTTAAGCAGAATTCAAAAAAATATATGAGAGACTTCAGAAGTCTAGACATGTTCATCCATGATTTACTCCAAAAACAAATTTAGTTTTTACTGAATTTCAGATCATTGACATTTTTGTGTTTCTAGCTTAATGTTCTAGAAAAGCCCAAAGTGGAAATCTGAGTTAGGCTGTTGGTGAAAATTGTCTCTTCCAGAATGTATGTGCAACTGCTAACCATATTGTGAGCAACATGTGCCCTGAAGAATAAAGAGAAAGGCATAATTGTGAATAGAAAAGTAGGAGGGATAAGGGTGGTAGAGAGAATTCTGTGTCTTCTATCTCACCTTGTCAAGGTTATTGTTTTTATTCTCCTTGGTAGACAAATATATAACGTGTGTGTGTGTGTGTATGTGTGTGTGTGTGTGTGTATCTTCAGTGGTATGCAAAGGTAGAATTTAGAAACTGACACCTTGAGTTTGACTATGTGGCTCTTGCCTTTTTTGTCTACTCTCTTTCTTGGCTTAGCAAAGCAACAGCCATTAGCAAAGCAACAGCCGGGACCTAGATGTACGCACATGTTCTTGGGTTCTGCTTAATTTCCAAATGAGGGAGAACACAAAGATTTTTACCCCTTTTTATGGATTAATACTGGGAGCCCTGAAATAAGAAAATTAGGATAGACTGAAGTGGATTTAACAGACTTTATAATATACATATATGTTATAATTTCAGTTTATAATGTATTACATATAGTATTTCTTTTAAAGACAGAGCATGCTCTACATATATTGGTTGACTCTCCAGTGACAGAGCTTGTGTTTGCTCCCCCGTTGTTCTCTGGAGGATTCAAATAGAATATGATCCCCCAGGATTTTAAGTGGTCTTTCCTGTTCCCTGATACCAGGAGAACCTCTCCTGGAGATAATAACAAGTTGAAGGCTGAAAAATCTCAACTAGATAGAATAAGTTCTAAATATCATGGCTTGCTTTTTCTCTTTGGGAAGAATCAGATTGAAAATAGTTCAGATTTTGGAGGCCATTTAGTGTATTTACAATGATCTAACTATGCCATAGTAGAGCAAAGACTAGTAACCAGCTCCCAGCTGTTGTTGCTTTGCTAAGCAAAGAAATAGACAATACATAATTAATCCATTTGGCTATGTTACAATGAAACTTTCTAGAGACTAGAATTTTCACATGCCACAAAATAGTTATTTTATAAAATTCTTTTCCAACACGTAAACATCATTTTAGCTCATAGGCTGTACCAAATCAGGTTATCGAGCTGTAGTTTAACCACCCCTGGTTTAACATATCACAGCAGCAGAATTTGAGGCTAATTAAAATAGCACACTTCAGGGGATTTTCCAGCAAAAGAAAAAGCATGTGGAAAATACACATATAAAAGCCCTTTAGGAGAAGGACTACTGCTGTATGAGAACAATAGTTTAAACAAAATAGTAATAATAATATGAGTATTCTAGAAGTTTCCATCTCTGCACAAAATGCTGTCTGGAATATAAACTATAAATATAAACTTGTGAATTAAAATTTAGTAGGAAAATTGAAGAAGCTGAGATAAGTTATAAGTGGCCTAGGGAAGCTAGTTGAAGAAATAACTAAAAAAACATATTCTTAAATCTTTGTTTTGCTTCGTTTCACTTTTTAAACTTTGTAATGTAAGGTGGCATTATAATTGGATTTTAATGTTGATGATATAGAGAGTGTTTAAAATGTTGAGCACCTATTAAGATTTAATTAAAAAGATAATATTTAAAGTATGCATTTTAATATATTTATTTTCCTAATGGAGTAAATTGTTAACAATAGATCGAATTTGATAATGATAGTGCTATTTATATCTAAGAGTTTTTGCTGTGTAAGATAGGCTATTCTACTATGCAGCCATAGAAAAGAATGAGATCACGTTCTTTGCAGAAACATGGATGGAGCTGGAGGTCATTATCCTAAGATAACTAATTGAAGAACAGAAAACCAAATACTGCATGTTCTCTCTTATAAGCGGGAGCTAAATACTGAGTACACATGAACACAAAGAAAGCAATAACAGACTCTGGACCCTGCTTTAGGGTGGAGGGTGAGAGGAGGGTAAAGATCGATAAACTACCTATTGGTCACTATGCTTATTACCTGGGTGACAAAATAATCTGTATACCAAAGCTGCTGACACACAATTTACCCATGTAACAAACCTGCACATGCACTCCTCAACCTAAAATAAAAGTTAAAAAAAAAAAAAAAGATTGGCTATTGTAATTAAATCCTACTGTATTCTGTTAACTCAACAGGTTAAATATAATCAAACTTGGCGAGTCACATTTTAAAGTTACTTAACATTTTGGCTCCTCTTTTTTAATATTTCTGTAATAAAATAATTGAGATGGTTACATTCACTATTATGTGGAAATATTCCTCTATGATGTTGATTGGACACATTTGAACATTTGTTTTTTGGAAATTAACAAGCCAAGCATTTCTCTTTGTGAGACAAATATGCAATTACTTTAAATTTTAAACACTAGTAAATTTTAAAACCTTAACATTGTTAGGCTGAATAGTTTTCAGATGTAGTGATGATAGTAACTTTTTAAAAATAACTATTCATATGATGCAGAGCACCTTCATGATTATGAATTCAGTTCTATAAAACAATTGTATGCATGCTTTAGAGATCTATGAAATTTATATTATATAATTATTTTTCTCACCTCCTGGATATTCTTTTATTTCAAGCATTAAAACCAAAAGTCAAACCAGCAGATTTCATATTTTATTGGTTCTTTTTTCAGTTATTCTGTGTATGCCACCCATATTTGTTCAAGGCATGTGAAACTGGCAAATAATAGCTTAGTCTTAGAAGAAAATAATCTAAATTGTTATTTTAAAAGTATATATGCAGTCCTCTGATCACAGGCCTAACCCATAAGATAACTTGATATAATTCCCCCTTTGTAACACTTACCACAATACCAAATCTTTGAAGGAGTGTCCTTGACTCTTCCAAATACGCTTGTATCTCCAAATCCTAGTACAATGCATAACATATAATAGGTACCCAATAAATGTTTTTTGAGGTGAAGTTTCTCTCTTGTCACCCAGGCTGGAGTGCAATGGTGTGATCTTGGCTCACTGCAACCGCAGCCTCCCAGGTTCAAGTTGTACACATAGACTAGTAAAATACAATAGAGAACCCAGATATAAATCCACATATCTACAGTGAACTCATTTTTGACTAAGAGGCCAAGAGAGTACATTGGATAAAGGATAATCTCTTCAATAAATGGTGCTGGGTAAACTGGATATCCATAAGCAGAAGAATGAAAATAGACCATTATCTCTCACCACATACAAAAGTCAAATCAAAAGACTTAAATTTAAGACCTCAAACTATTAAGCTGCTGAGAGAAAACTTCGAGGAATCTCTCCAGCACATTGGACTAGGCCAAGATTTCTTGAGTAATACCCCAGAAGTACAAGCAACCAAAGCAAAAAATGGACAAATGGAAACACGTCAAGTGAAAAAACGTCTAAATAACAAAGGAAATAATCAACATAGTGAAGAGACAACTCACAGAATGGAATAAAATATTTTAAAATTATCCATATGACCAGGGATTAATAACCTGTGTGTTTAAGGAGCTCGAATACTCAATAGGAAATATTTCATAATCTGAATAAAATGAGCAAAAGATCAGAAAAGTTAATTGTTAGAAGAAAACATACAAATGGAAAACAGGTATATGAAAAAGTTCTTAAAATCAGTTATTATTAGAGAAATGCAAATCAAAATTACCATGAGATTTTATCTCACCCTAGCTAAATTGACTTTTATACAAGGGATAAGCAATAATAAAATTTGGGAGGATGTGGAGGAAAGAGAACACTCATAGACTGTTAGTTGGAATGTAAATAAGTACAACCACCATGGAGAACAGTTTGGAGGCTCCAAAAAAAAAAAAAAATCTCTACTTGAGGGAAAAATTTAAAAAATTAAATTAAATTAAAACACTGAAAATAGAGCTAACATATAATCCATTAATCTCATTCTTAGCTATGTACTCAAAAGAAAGGAAACCAGTATATTGCAGAGATATATGTTCTATGTTATTGCTGCACTATTCACAACAGCCAAGATTTGGAAGCAATCTAAATGTTCATCAGCAGGTGAAAGGATGAAGAAAATGTGGTACATATACACAATGGAGTACTATTCATCCACAAAGCAGAATGAAATCCTGTCATTTGCAACAGCATGGATGGAATTGGGGGTCATTATGTTAAGTAAAATAAGCCAGACACAGAATGACAAGTTTTGCATGTTCTAACTTATTTGTGTGTACTAAAAATTAAAACAATTGAACTCACAAAGATAGAGAATAGAATGATGGTTACCAGAGCCCGGGAATGGCAGTGGGAGTGGGGGAAAATGAGGATGATTTGTGAGTACAAAAATATAGTCAGAAAGAATGAGTAAGACCTAGTATTTGCTAGCATAATAGGGTGAGTATACTTAAAAAACAATTTCATTGTACATTTTAAAATAACTACAACATTATAATTGGATTGTTTGTAACACAAAGGATACATTCCTGAAGGGATGGATATTTCATTCTCCATGATGTGCTTATCTCACATTACATGCCTGTATCAAAACATCTCATGTATCCCATAAATATATTCATCTACTGTGTACCCATAAAAATTAAAAATCAAAAACATGTATATAATGCTTTGTAATGTATTTGATCATCATATAGGAAATACAGTATTTATTTATATTACTCATATTCAAACCCCTAATTCTCCCATCTCATTTCCCACTGTTCTTTAACACATATTATTTATTTCAGAAAGGCAGTAGTCTAATTTTGCCTTAATATATCATGCTTATCCTCAACTCAAAATAATTATTTCTGTTCTCACTCAATCTGAAGTGGTTTCACCCTTTAGCCTTTATATCAACTGATATACATAGCCATCAGCTTCCAATAAAAGGTTTCTGGCTACTGATTTTTTTCTAGACTCAAATGGCTGACATTAGTCTCTTATTTCCTGACCTTTATAGTATTCCTTTGAGTTAAGACATACCTACCTAAAATAATGAATATGTCTCTCTAAATTGATTTTAAACACAGTAAGCTCTGCATCTAATTTAGAAATGAATATTCTTCAGTGGTTCGAAAGCAGTAGATTATACACATGAGGGGATTCAATAAAGACTGGAGTGAATGGATATGGCATTAAAACTTTAGAAGGATATACAAAAGTATCATTTTTTTCTTTGTCATTATGAATACAGAGATGACTTACGTTTTGTACAATTCTAAATGCCCCATTACCATTGGGACTAGTACTTTCTAATTCCCATGCATGTGACATTTGATATTTTGACTTCTAAATCGATATAACACTTCACTACACATGGCATCATTAGATTCCTTTTATTTTAAATAAAAATAATGTTTTATTTTTGAATATAAAAAGGTAGTTTTTCCCTTAACTTACCAAACCACATACTGTTCAAATAATTTTATTTCCAGCTCCTTCTCCTGGAAATTGAATTAATTGAAGCACTGTTCTTTTTAATGTATGATAGGCTTGAAGGAATGGCTACAACTTTACTGCAGCTGGGGAAAAAATCTGTAAATGAATCATTGACAGCTTCCTCAGCCAAATATAGCTGTATGTCTTAAAATTTTAGTGGAGATTAAAATTTTGTCATTTTAGTGCATCACTCAATTTAGCATGTAGAATAATGTTCTCTGGTGAATGATGCAGTATAATGATATAAGAACTGGAAATATGTAATGACGAATGCCTAGGACAGAATCTACCCTTATCTGAATTACTTTTCTTCCTTATTAAAATGCAAAAGCACTTATAAGCAGAGGCTTCTGGATATTGTTCTGTGCCAACTATAAAATAGCCTCATCTGTAATCAGTGGATGATGATGTTTATGATAAAAAGCTAAAGATATGTTTAATAATAGGTGTTTAATAATGCAAATAACTCAATTTACTATTTTGGACTAAAGGTAAACTGATATTTCAGTTACATAAATGAATCTAGAAAATAATCTTCAATTATGAAATTAAATCTATTGTACCTTAAATCACTGGCATACCCCCGAATTCTTTTCAATTTTAAATCTTTTATATGTGATTTTTTTATACACTACATATTACATATCTCTTTTCCTAAATTGAAGGTTCTAATTGCAGGCAAACACTGAAAAATTATATATATGTATATATATAATATATATATTAGTATATATATACATAAGTATATATTATGTATATATACGTAAGTATATTATATATATATACACATAAGTATATATTATATATATATACTTATGTATCTGTTAAATTCCTCCTGTGATATCAAACACTGTATATTTCTTGGTTTTTCATCTAATATATGCTCTGAGCTCTTCCTGGTGTACACACAACCTTAGTTACAGAATGACAGACAGAAAGGTCATTGTCTGAGTATAATCTTATTATGAAAGAAATATTCATTTAATGTTGATTTGTTTTTACAAAAGCACAAAATAAATGTTTTTGCCAGCCAACAGAAATGAAGTTTTTGAAGAAGTCTGTATGTGCAGAAGCAACGTTCTTTTTCAACATTTACTTTTACAAAGCTCTTTATCCCTTTAAGCTCAAATAATTTTTCCATAGGAAATTGTATTGTAATTCTCTGCTGCACTGCTCATCAATTTTTCTCCCACCCTCCCACATTCCTCATTTCACTGTTCATAGATTTTCAATCTTTTAACTTGCACTAGTACTCTAGTACTTGAATCAATATGATGTTCAATATCAAAACTGAAGGTGAGTGTTTCTGTAACATCAAAATGAGACACGTAAATGGCTACTGGGTCCCCATATATCTTTGGTTACCCAAAATTCCGCTTTACAACTTTTGTTGTAGAGAACAAAGTGTCATTTCCTACTGAAAAGTGATCTCTACCATTTGACATTTAGTTTTGTTACTCTAATGTATTTTCCCTGTGACAAGTGCAAAGGCCCCCAGAGAGACTATAATTAAAGTACAATATGACACTGATTATTTCTTTTAGTTTGGGAAGTCATACTATACAATAGTCACTTATGTTGACTATCTATTAATATAATGCAAGGCATATGCAATCTAAATGCTTGAGTAATATAGGACCTCGTATTGTGACTCATTCAACGGTAAATGAATGCAAACAGATTATCAGAATGGTGCTATATTTCTACTGGTTTTGAATAGAAATCAAATAATAGTAACATTAGATTTAAAGAAACAGCTAAAATTTAGCCAAGTTTATTGCAAATGCAAGTGCAATTTAGGTGGGAAAATAGACATGTAAATTTGTGCATAAGAGAACATAAAGACTGGAGTAGTGGCTCACACCTATAATCCCAACACTTCAAGAGGCTGTAGCAGGAAGCTTCTTTGAGCCTAGGAGTTTGAGTCCAGCCTGGACAACATAGTGAGATGCTATTTCTGTAAAAATAATAATAAAAAAATTAGCTGGGCTTGGTGGCACACACCTGTGGTCCCAGCTAATTGGGAGGCCGAGGTGGCAGAATTGCTCGAGTTCGAGAGGTCAAGGATCCAGTGAGCTGTTATAGCACAACTGCACACCTGCCTAAGTGAGAAACTGAGACCCTGTCTAAAAATAACAGAGATTATAAAGCTTCTAATATTTAAATTGAGGAAATATTTAATATTTAAAGGTGGTATGGAAAGATGTACAAGAAGATACCACTGTTTTCCATTGCCTCTGAGTCTGAGCTTTTATGAGAAATAGATATTGGACAGTAAAGTTTGTGTGTGTGTGTGTGTGTGTGTGTGTGTGTGTGTGTGTGTCATGAGACATACTTTCATTCATTATTTTCTATTTCAAAAATAACACCTTGTTGATTATAATATTTGGAGATCTTATTGTGGAGAAGGGAAGAATACTGGAAAATATAGAATATTCTGTCTTTTTATACATCTAAGTGAAAGAGTTTTTAAAAGATATTATAATTCAGAGGAATTCATAGAAAAAAATCTTATAAATGAGATCACATCACAAGAAAATGGTTGGTGATGAAGAGATATTAGAAAACTCGAAAAGCTGCAGCTGGTAACTCTCTAGAACATTGCTATAAACTCTCATTAACCCAACTTGATGACAATTGTTTACACTTTCTACAGCTGTTTGGATTGCCAGAGCAGCTGTTACCTGCAAAAGATGATTTGGAGATTAGTCTCCTGTAGACTATCCAAAGGCTGTCTTAAAGAGTGAGATATAGAGGATGAATAATACAAGAGAAATAGAACAGATACTGTGTTAGGTCAGAGGTGTCAGCTAAAGAAACACTGGTATTTCATGAAGGTTAGAGTTTTGATTTGACAAACTTGTCTCCCTCCAGCTACTAAAGTGATTTCTATAATTCATTTCTCACTTCATTTAAAGGAATAATTTTGGCAAATTTATAATTAACTGATTTGGTATTCTTATGCAGATAAGTTGTCTCAATTATTTAATATTTGTCTTGATAACTCTTAAAAGTTAACATTAATTTTTGTTTTCAGTTTTTGTTAAAGAAATTAAAGAAACTTTACAAAATTATTTTTATCTATGACTTTGAAAGTATTTGTCCTTTATTTAGTTAATTTTTAAACCTTTACAATTGTGTAGATGTTCACAGTCTGCTGAAAATTTATTGATAATAGTCCACCTGTCACAGAATTCTGTTTTAAAGAGGCTGTAATGCCTAATTGTAAATGACAACAGTATTTCTTTTTCTTATTTAAAATCTGCTAGATATAAAATTTTTTGAATGGTACTAATGAAATTCAAAACTCTGCGTCAAACCTAGAAAATGTTGTTATTTTCTGTGCCTTGTAGTTTTATGTGAATCATATCTCTTTATGCCTTTTCCTTCCATTTTATTATTTTTATTATAAATTGTAATAAAGTGTGTTAATTCATGCAAGAACATTACTTCTGATTACTCTTATAATGTAAGTTAAGCGTGTTAGGGTATTTTAAGGAAGTTTTTTTAATAGACATGTTCCCTTGCTGATGGCTTCTTCAGTTTTGTACATAAAGCATGGTATGTCATGACAATGAAAAGGTACTTTTTCTACAATATAGAGACAGCAATTTGTAAAGTTTGAAATGAAATTTGTGGCGTTATTGTTTTCCGTTTATTAAGATATAGTGTGGGGTTAACTACATTTATCTTAACAATCACACAGTAATTTTATTTTGGTCATTTTTGCACTGAAACATCTAAAATATTTGTTATACTTTTACAGCTTGCAGCTATGTTTTTTTTCATAGTGTATAGCCATATGTTTTAAGCTAAACATCCAAGAATAGTGACATAACATATTCCTTTGAATATATGTTCTTGTTATAGGGGATCTGTGTATCTATATGTGGTATATATTGAAAAAATTAGAAATAATTGGTTTCAACAAAGACATATTTTGAAATATAGTTAGGAAAATTTGTTTTTCAAAAAACAACATTGATGACTTCAATTCTATAAAAAATCACTTTTAGACATAGTTAAGCAGTGTCTTCAGTGTTTGTATTTGGTTAAAGCTTAAATTGGAATTTATATTATACTTCATTGTAAAATATATAAAGCCTGTTAATTGAAAATAATAAAGCATTAATAATTTATTTAGCATTTCTAAAATAACTAGCTTTGTCTATGGAAGGACTCCAGAGAGGAATACAGAATAGACATAGCCTAAGAGATTTATGTTGTCTATATATTTGACTTGAATTTTTAGATGTTTTTACTTTATTATAGTTTTTTGCTGACTTGCGTGTCCTTCAGGGAAAATAATCTTTTTCACTGAATTCTAAGTTTAAATGAAAAGTTTTAAAAGGCAAGTAACTCTAATCTTTCCTCTTCATTTAAAATCTGTCAAGTTTACTATGTTTTGTTTATTCTACCAAAAGCTTTAGAGGTAATAATTTTTTAATTTTCATAAAAACCCTAAAATATAGTTATTAATTTTTTTGGTTATTTGAAATTATATGTTTGCAGTAAATTTGCATATGTGTAAAAGCAAATACAAAATATACAATTTAGTGAATTTAGACAAATAAAATTAATCTTCTTAAGATATACAACACACACACACACACAAACACACACACACATTTTCTTCCTCTCTCAGAAATATTTTTTAAGTTTCTTCGTAGTAAAGTCCTCTACCAGAAAAAACCACAACTCTGATTTAGTTTTTATCATAGACTAATTTTTTTCATTTTAGATCTGAATAAAGATACAATCATATCCTGTCATGAGCATAATGTTTATGAGATTCATTCATGAGGTTGTGTATCAGTATTTTTTAAGTACTCAGTAGTATTCTATTGCCTGGATATAATAAATATTGTTTATGCATTTGCCCTATTGATATTTATTTGAGTTATTTCCAGTTATGAACATATGACTATTTCTATACACATCATTTTGTCTATATAGGTATTTATTTTTCTTGGATATCCAGAAGTAGAATTGCTGAGTCAAAGAGTAGGTGCAAGCTTAACTTTATAAGAAACTGCCAAAAGATTCTCTAAAGTGGTTATAGAGTTTAAACTTTCAATCAGCAATGTGTAAGGATTATGGTTATTCTACATCCTTAATATTTTTATTTATAATCATTTTAATTTGAGTCATTCTACTAGTAGTGTATAATATCTCATTATAATTTTATATTTGCATTTTCCTGATGACTAATAATGATAAAAAGCACTTTTTAATTGATTATCGGACTTATTTGTATTATCGTTTGTGAAATGTCAAGCTTTTTGTACAACTATTTCCTTTTTAAAATTTATGTGTAGGATTTTTTTATACATTCCTCATACTAGTTCTTTATCAGATATATTTTTATATTTTTATCCATTTTCTCAGTGATGTCCTTCAATGAAGATTTAATTTCAATAAGTTTAATTCTTTTTTTATGATTATTGCTTTATGTGTCCTGTCTAATAAATTCTTACTCACTATTTGCGTCCCCTCAAAACTCATACATTTAGGCCGGGCTTCGTGGCTCACGCCTGTAATCCTAGCACTTTGGGAGGCCAAAGTGGGCAGATCACTTGAGGTTAGAAGTTTGAGACTTGTGTGGCCAACATGACAAAACCTGACTCTACTAAATATAATTAAAAAATTAGCCGGGTGTGGTGGCAGGCACCTGTAATCCCAGCTACTAGGAAGGCTGAGGCCTCCTGGGAGGCAGAAGTTGCAGTGAACCGAGATCGTGCCACTGCACTCCAGCCTGTGTGACAGAGCAAGACTCCATCTAAAAACAAAACAAAACAACAAGAAAGAAAGAAAGAAAGAAAGAAAGAAAGAAAGAAAGAAAGAAAGAAAGAAAGAAAGATGCAGAAAGAAAGAAGGAAAGACCCTCCTCATATATTTAAATCTTTTTTTTTTTAATTATACTTTAAGTTCTAGGGTACATGTGCACAACGTGCAGCTTTGTTACATATGTATACATGTGCCATGTTAGTGTGCTGCACCCATTAACTCGTCATTTACATTAGGTATATCTCCTAATACTTTCCATCCCCCCTCCCCCACCCTACAACAGGCCCCAGTGTGTGATGTTTTCCTTCCTGTGTCCAAGTGTTCTCATTGTTCAATTCCCACCTATGAGTGAGAACATGCGGTGTTTGGTTTTTTGTCCTTGCGATAGTTTGCTAAGAATGATGGTGTCCAGCTTCATCCATGTCCCAACAAAGGACATGAACTCATCCTTTTTTATGGCTGCATAGTATTCCATGGTGCATATGTGCCACATTTTCTTAATCCAGTCTATCATTGATAGACATTTGGGTTGGTTCCAAGTCTTTGCTATTGTGAATAGTGCCGCAATAAACATATGTGTGCATGTGCCTTTATAGCAGCATGATATATACTCCTTTGGGTATATACCCAGTAATGGGATGGCTGGGTCCAATGGTATTTCTAGTTCTAGATCCTTGAGGAATCGCCACACTCTCTTCCACAATGGTTGAACTAGTTTACAGTCCCACCAACAGTGAAAAATTGTTTCTATTTCTCCACTTCCTCTCCAGCACCTGTTGTTTCCTGACTTTTTAATGATCGCCATTCTAACTGGTGTGAGATGGGATCTCATTGTGGTTTTGATTTGCATTTCTCTGATGGCCAATGATGATGAGCATTTTTTCACATGACTGTTGGCTGCATAAATGTCTTCTTTACGGAAGTTTCTATTCATATCCTTTGCCCACTTGTTGATGGAGTTGTTTGTTTTTTCTTGTAAATTTGTTTGAGTTCTTGGTAGATTCTGGATATTCGCCTTTTGTCAGATGAGTTGATTGCAAAATTTTTCTCCCATTCTGTAGGTTGCCTGTTCACTCTGATGGTAGTTTCTTTTGCTGTGCAGAAACTCCTTAGTTTAATTAGATCCCATTTGTGAATTTTGGCTTTTGTTGCCATTGCTTTTGGTGTTTTAGACATGAAGTCCTTGCCCATGCCTATGTCCTGAATGGTATTGCCTAGGTTTTCTTCTAGGGTTTTTATGGTTTTCAGTCTAACATTTAAGTCTTTAATCTATCTTGAATTAATTTTTGTATAAGGTGTAAGGAAGGGATCCAGTTTCAGTTTTCTACATATGGCTAGCCAGTTTTCCCAGCACCATTTATTAAATAGGGAATCCTTTCCCCATTTCTTGTTTTTGTCAGGTTTGTCAAAGATCAGATGGTTGTAGATGTGTGGTATTATTTCTGAGGGCTCTGTTCTGTTCCATTGGTCTATATCCCTGTTTTGGTACCAGTACCATGCTGTTTTGGTTACTGTAGCCTTGTAGTACAGTTTGAAGTCAGGTAGTGTGATGCCTCCAGCTTTGTTCTTTTGGCTTAGGATTGTCTTGGAAATGTGGGCTCTTTTTTGGTTCCATATGAACTTTAAAGTAGTTTTTCCCAATTCTGTGAAGAAAGTCATTGGTAGCTTGATGGGGATGGCATTGAATCTATAAATTACCTTGGGCAGTATGGCCATTTTCACGATATTGATTCTTCCTATCCATAAGCATGGAATGTTCTTCCATTTGTTTGTGTCCTCTTTTCTTTCGTTGAGCAGTGGTTTGTAGTTCTCCTTGAAGAGGTCCTTCACATCCCTTTTAAGTTGGATTCCTAGGTATTTTATTCTCTTTGAAGCAATTGTGAATGGGAGTTCACTCATGATTTGGCTCTCTGTCTGTTATTGGTGTATAAGAATGCTTGTGATTTTTGCACATTGATTTTGTATCCTGAGACTTTGCTGAAGTTGCTTATCAGCTTAAGGAGATTTTGGGCTGAGATGATGGAGTTTTCTAGATATACAATCATGTCATCTGCAAACAGGGACAATTTGACTTCCTCTTTTCCTAATTGAATACCCTTTATTTCTTTCTCCTGCCTGATTGCCCTGGTCAGAACTTCCAACACTATGTAGAATAGGAGTGGTGATGAGCTATTTATGACAAACCCACAGCCAATATCATACTGAATGGGCAAAAACTGGAAGCATTCCCTTTGAAAACTGGCACAAGACAGGGATGCCCTCTCTCACCACTCATATATTTAAATCTTAGCCCCACAATATGACTGAATTAGGAAGTAGCTTTTTTGGGAGGTAATTACATCATGAAGCTGGAACGCTCATGAATGGTATTAAGTGGCCTTATGAAAAGATACTCAGAGAGCTCTTTCATTGTCTTTCTACCACATGAAGATACAAGGAGAAGATGGCAGTCTGCACCTTGGAAGAGGGCGCTCACCCAAACCCTACCATGCTGGCACCCTTACCTAGGGCTTCCTGCCTCTAGATTTATAAGAAATAAATTTCTGTTGTTTATAAGCCACCTAGTCTATGCCTTGTTATAGCAGCCTGAGCTTACTAAGGCACCTGCTTGGTCACGAAGACATTTGTATTTTGAAAGGTTTATAATTTAACCATTAGGGTTAGATCCATATTCCATCCATTTGAATCAATTTCTGAAACTAATAAGGCTCTTTTTACCTGTAATAATGTACAGTGGTTTTCAGTCCCATTTGTAGAAAGTCTTTCAATTTTCTATGGAACTGTTTTAACACTGTCTTTATAAATGACACATGTACATGTCCCTAATTCTATTTTTAAAATTCTATTCTATTGTTCTATTTTTCTATCTTTATGACAATACCACAGTCTTCATTATAGTAGTTTTTTTTTAAATAAGTTTTCAAGTCATGTAATATAAATTCTCTAATCTTTTTCTTTTCAAAAATAGTTTTGGCTAAAATAGGATTTTTTTTTCTACTCCTTATAAATTTTAGGATCCATTTGTCAGTATCTATTTTTAAAATCTCCTGAAATTATTATTGAAATTTTATTGGATCTGTGCATCAATTTAGAGAGAGCAACATTTTAACAACGTAATATTCTTCAACTGACTTAATAAATTGGTCTTCTTTAACTTATCAATGTTTTATAGTTTTCACAGTAGAAGTTTTATGCATTGTTATAATTATGTCATTGTTATGATGTCCTCAGTATTTTATATTTTAATGCTATTATACATAGATTTAAAAATATTTCAGTTGTTTGCTAATATATAAAAATATGTTCTATTTGTTTATATTGATCTTGCAACTCATAATCTTGTTTAAAATCACATTAAATGTAATACTTTTAAAAAATGCTTTACATTTTTATGTAAACAATCATGTCATTTGAAAATAGAGACAGTTTCACTTCTTCCTTTCTTATCTTTCCATGTATATTTAAAATTATTTTTTTGAATTACTCTTAAGGCTAATACTCCAGGAAAATGTGAAAGAGAAGTGGTGAAAGTATATATGCTTGCCTTATATCTAATAGTAAGGAGAAAGTGCTTAGGATATAGCCATTAAATACCACAGTAGTAAAACTTTTCCATAGCTTTTCCTTACCAGATTGAGGAAGTTCTCTACTTCTAGTTTACTGAGATTTATTATCAAGAATAGATATTGAATTACAAAAACTTTGTATTTATTGGGATAATCATAGATTTTAAAACTCTGTTAGCTTGATTTTTTTTTCATTTTTTAAAGTTTTATTGAATATAATTCATGTACTGTAGAGTTTACTCATTTAGGGTATACAATTCAATGGTTCTTTGTATATTCATAGATAAGTGCAACTATCACTACAGTCAATTTTAAAATATTTTCATCACCTCAAATGAAACCTTATATCCTTTAACTATCAACCCCACTTCCAGTATCGTAATCCTTGTCCTCACATTCAACCTTAAACAACTACTAATCTACTGTTTCTATATATTTTCATATTCTGGGTTTTCATATAAATGGAATTATATAATATGTGGTTTCTTTGGTAACTGTACCAATTTTGTTAATCTATTCATTTTCTAGTAGTCATTTGGATTGTTTCTAACATATGGCTAGTATGAGTAACATTGCTACAAACATTCATATACAACTTTCTATGTGAACACATATTTACATTGCAGTTGGGTGCATATGTAGAGAGTAAAAATATTGAGTCATACAGTATCTCTAAGTTTATTCATTTAAGAAACTGACATCCTGTTTGCCTAGGTAACTCCTGCCCATAGGGGCATGAGTTAGCAGTTCTTACACACTTTCTTGGTAGATAAGAAGTTGCGGGTTTCTATTATTAGATCCACAATCTAATGTTTTTGTTAAACTATAGCTATAGCATGCAAACCCCATAATAATTTTAGGGTTTAAGGATAATAGGAAGATAGGTGCAAAATGTATAAGTATTAATGTATCTTCTCGTGTAAAAGAAGGTTTAATATTATTAATGTAATATACAAGTGTTCCTCGTTGTGTTGTGATTAGCAAATATAGGGAGTAAAGGGTTTATCTTCTGGATCAGAAGAGAAGATTAATGAGAAGTTAGGTGAGTTATCATTGAATTGGTTAAAAAATAGTAGGGTAATGAGGCTGATGAGTAGGCTGTAGTTAGTCATGTGGATTCAGATTATATAATTTTTAGAGAATCATGTCATTGGTAATAGTATAATTGTTGGAATAATTTATGTATATATATTTATTATACTTTAATTTCTAGGGTACATATAATAATTTTTAGCATTGAAATAAATTTAGATTTTGTACATAATCTAGGCCATATGTGTTGGAGATTAAAACTAGTAAGGCAAGGCCCACTGTGGCTTTGCAGGCAGCAAATACTAGAAGGATGATGGGTATTATGGATACTAGAGCAAAATATATGTTTAAAGTTTTAAGGGTATTTTATGATGAATATTGATAGTATTATGGCTTCTAGGCATAATAGGGATGATATTAGGTGGGATCAGTAGGCTAATATTCCCAGCAGTGATATGGTGTATGCTAATATAATATTGATGTAAATAGAGGGCATTTGGTAAATGTGGTCTATCATAATCTAATGAGTTGAAATCATTTATTTTGACTTAAATGATTTACCAGTTCAACTCAATCTACTCCTTTTTTGGGCTCATTGATAAGTCAAGCCTAGGATTAAAATGGTAACTAGTATAAGGGCTATGTTGATTATTAGTGTCGAGTTGTTTGTTTGAAGGGCTCATGGCAGGGTAGTAGTAGGGCGATTTCCAAGTTGAAGAGGAGAAATGTGATGGCTACTGGGAAGAATTTTATCAAAAAGGGGAGGTGGGGGGAGGTTATTTGGTCAAATCCGCATTCGTAGGGGCTGGATTTTTCTATATAAATATTAAGTTGTGGGAGTCAAAATGTAATTATTGTTAGTAATAAGACCAGTAAGGTATTGGTTACTAGGGCTAGTGTCAGGTTAATTACTCTCTTTCAGATATTAGCAAAACTAATTGATTGGAAGTCAATGGTACTGTTTATACTAAAAGAGTAGGCTCCTCATCAATAGACAGAGACGTATAAGAATAGTCATGCTACATCAACAAAGTGTCAATATCGGGAGGTGGCTTCAAAGCCAAAGTGGTGGTTGGATGTAAAATGGAATTTTAGTTGGCGGAGGTGGCAGACAGTGAGAAATGTTGATCCAATAATAACGTGAAGTCCATGAAAGCCTGTGGCTATGAAGAATGTTGAGCCATAGATTCCATCAGAGGTAGTAAAGGGGGCCTGGAAGCATTCTGAGATTTGTAGGAGGGTGAAGTAAATACCTAAGGTAATTGTGTTGGATACTGCTTGAATTATCTGCTTTTGACTACCTTCTGTGGTGTGGTGAATCCAAATAATTGAAGCTCCTGATGCAAGTAATACAGATGTATTCAGGAGAGATACTTCTAAGGGGTTAAGGGGAAAAATGCCTGTTGGGGGTCAATGTCCCCCTAATTCTAGAGTTGGGGTTAGACTAGAGTGGTAGAATTCACAGAAGAAACCAGCAAAGAATAATACTCCTGAGATAACAGACAGAATTATTCCATACCAGAGGCCTTTCTGGACAATTGTTGTATGGTGGCCTTGAAATGTACTTTCTCGGATAATGTCACATCATTATTGGTATATAGTCAGTGTGTTGGTTAGTAGGCCTAGGGTGAAAAGAGTAATAGAGTTAAAGTGAAATCACATGGCCAGGTCAGATATTATTAGGAGGGCTGAGAGGGCTCCTGTTAGTGCTCAGGGGCTGGGTTTGACTACATGGTAGGCATGTGTTTGGTGGGTCATTATGTATTATCATACAGATAAAGGCTTACTAGTAGTGTGAAGACATAAGCCTCAATAAGGGCTATGGAGAATTCAAGAATGGTCAGTAGGATAAGAATAATGAGAGCGACTGAAGAGAAAGAAACTGACACCCTGTTTCATCAAGATGGTGCAGCTATCTGCACCATCTTCAAATACCACCAGAAGTATATGAGGGTTGCAATTTCTGCACATCCTTGACAACGGTTGTTCTCTACCTTGTTGATTCTAGCCATTGCAGTGTGTGTAAAGTGACAATTCATTGTGGTTTTGACTTTCATTTCCCTGATGACTAAAGATGGCAAGCATCTTTTCATGTGCTTATTGGCCATTTTTACATCTTCCTTGGAAAAATATCTATTCAGAACTTGTGCTTATTTTTAACATCTTTATTTACCTAATATCGACTTTAAAGAGTTCTTTATTCTGGATACAAATCCCTTAATACATATATAACTTAAACATATTTTCTCCCACTCTATGGCCTGCCTTTTCATCTTCTTGATGTTCTTTGAAGAACAAAAAATTTTTATTTTGTTAAGGTTTAATTTATCAGGCTCGTCTTTCTGCTTGTCATAAAGAATAGCACCTGTATTTTCTTCCAAATTTTTATTTTTTACACTTATTTAGATCTTTGGTACATTTTGAGTTCATGTTTTATAAAGAGTGTGAGATGGGAATCCCACTTCATTCTTTTGCAACTGTCTATCCAGTCGTCCCATGACTATTTGTTTAACAGACTATTATTTCCCCATTGAATGGTCTTGCCACATGTTTTAAATGTCAGGTGTATGAGCCTTTTTAGACTCACGATTTTATTTGATTGATCTGTATGTTTACACTTGTGCTCTACCACACTCTCAGTTACCACTGCTTTGTACTAAGTCATAAAATTGGTAAGTATAGATTCTCCTACCTGTTTCTTTTTCAGAGTTGATTTGGCTAATTTGCATCCTTTGCAATTACAATAAGCTGAGTTTTAGAATCAGCTTATCAATCTTTACAAAGTAGTTATTATATTTAAATAGAGATTTGTTGTATCTATATATTATCTTGGGGAATATTGCCGTGTTAACAATGTTAAGGCTTTCATCCATGAACATGGGATATTTTCCAATTTACTTAGATCTTCTTTAATTATTTAAACACTGTTTTATATTTTCAGGGTATAAGTTTTGCACTTCTTTTGCTAAGTTTATTTCTAAGTACTTTATTCTTTTATAGTCTACTTCAAAAGGCATGTTTTCTTAATTTATTTCTAGATTACTCACTGCAAGTGTATAAAATACAACTGAATTTTATGTATTAGTCTTGTGAAATGTTGCTGAACTCATTAATTCTAATAGTTTTTAGTGTATTAATTAGGTTTCCCGACATACAAGATCACGTTATCTGCAAATAGTGATAGTTTTACTTCTTCATGTCAAATCTAGATGTCTTTTATTTCATTTTTTTTTACTATCAGCTGAATGTTGAACATAAATGGCAAGAATAAACATTCTTTTTTTGCTCCTGATCTTAGGAAAAGAGCATTTTGTCTCTTATCATTATCTGTGATAACATCTAAGAACTTTCCATATATGACTTTTTTCAGTTTGAGGGAATTTCCTTATACTCTTTGTTAGCTAAGAGGTTTTTTTTAATTATGAAAAAGTGGTCAACTTTTTCAAATATTATTTCTGCGTTTGTTGAGACAATTATGTAAGTTTTGTTTTTATTCTGTTAAAATAATGTATTAATTAATTTTTCAGATATTACAAAACCTCCTTGAGATAAATCCTACTCGGTCGTGGTATAAAATTGTTTTCACTCATTTCTGTATTTGATTTGCTAGGATGTTATTGAGAATTTTTGCATTCATATTCATAACAGACATTGGTCTCTAATTTGCCTTTCTTGGGTTGTGTGTGTTTGGTATTGATATCTGGGTAATGCTGGATTTATAGAGTGAATTATAAAGGTTTTTGTTTTCTTTCCATTTTTTAAAGAATGAGTAAAAAGTTGGTCTGCATTATTTTTTAAACATTTGTTAGAATTCAGAGATAAAGCCATGTTTACCTGGGTCTTTTGTTGTAGATCGTTTGTTGATCACTAACTAAATCACTTCAATTGTTATAGTACTATTCTGATTGCTTATTTCTTCTTGAGTCTGCTTTGGTAGTTTGTGTCTTCTTATGAAATTTCTCATTTCATGTATGGTATCCAATTTTTATTCTTATATCATTATTTTTATTTTTCTTTGCATTTCTGTAATATCAGTAGTAGTCTCTTCTTTCATTTCCTGTTCTAGTAATGTAAATATTCTTTTATCCTTGGTCAATTTAGTTAGAGGTTTGTTAATTTTGTTAATTTTTTAAAATAAGTTTTGGATTCATTGATTGTTTTATATTTTCTACTTCAATTTCTGCTCAAACCTTTATTTTTTAATTTATTTTCCTTGCTTTGGGTAAAATTTGCTATATTGTCAATGTCTTATAGTGGAAAGTTAAGATATTGAGTTAAGATATTTATTATTTCTTAATATAGTTGTTTATTGCTGTACATTTTTCTTAAAGCTCTGTTGTAGTCGTGTTCCATAATTTTGGTATGATTTTTCTTACTTTTAATTCATTTCAATGCATTTTTGATTTCTCATTTTCTTTATTCTTTGACCTAATAGTTATTCAGGAGTATGTTGTTTAATTTTTAAATGCGTGTGAGTTTCTTCCATTTTTTATGTCATTAATTTCTATTTTTCTTTTATTCCAATCAGAGAACACACTTGTATTTTTAAATTATTTAATGAAGCTGTTTTATAAAGTACCATATTGTCTATCCTGGAAATATCCCATACTATTTAAGGAATATATATTCTAATTCTCAGTTAAGTGTTCTATAAATATCTGTTAGCTATTGTTAGTTTATAGTGTTGTATAGGTATTGTATTTCTTGCTCATCTTTTGTCTAGTGTTCTATCCATTATTGGAAGTGAAGTGTTTTGGTCTCCGAGTATTATTTTTTTACTTGCCTATTTTCCCCTTTATTTCTATCTGTCTGGCTGCATGCATTTCGGTACTCTGTTATTTGGTGCATGTATACTTATAGTTGTTATAGTTTTCTGATGAATTGACCCTTTTTATCATTATAAAATACCCCTTTTTATATCTACTATCATTTTTTGTTAAAGTCTATTTCATGTGATCTTAGTGAAGACACTTTAGCCTCCTATGTTTACTGCTAGCTTGCTATGCTTTGCTTTCCTTCTTTTTATTTCAGTCTAGCTATGTCCTTGAATCTAAAGTGTGTCATTTATAGACAACATATAGCTGGGTCATTGATATTATCCAGTCTGACAATCTGTGCCTTTTGAATGGAATTTTAAATCCATTCAAATGTAACAATAATATTAATATGGTTGGATTTATATTTGCATTTTATTATTTCTTTGCTCCATGTCTCATGTCTTTTTTGCTCCTCTGTTAATCTTTTACTGCTTTGTTTTGTGTTAAGTGAATATTTTCTAATGTAACATTTAAATTTCATTAATGATTTCTTCACTATAGTTTTCTATATATTTTTACTTCTAGAGCTTGCTGTAGGGTTTTTTAATATATATCTCAAGATATTCTTATGAACTTTAGATTTATACTAGATTAATAACAGAAAAAGGTATAAAAATATAGCTCTATTCCCTTTCCCCATTTTTGTAATATTATTGTTATACATACCATATTCATTAATGTTACAAGCCTAACAATATATTTTTATAATTATTTTACCAATTGTAATCAGTTTTTAGCTCATTAAAGTGTTGTTCCCACCCAACTCCTTTGTTCTTTTATTGGCAAATATATTACATGTGAATTACATTTCTGTATATTATAAGTCCAATAGCACATATACATATTTTTCTATACAATTACTGTTCAGATAGGTTAATAGAAGAAAGGAGAATAAAGAGTATTTATAGTGTCTTTTATAATTAAAAAATGACTTTAGCAACACTCTTTGTTTATTAATGTAGGTTCTAACTACTACCTGGGATCATGTGCTTTCAGTCTGAAGAATATCCTTTAGTATTTTATGTAAGGCAATTCTGCTAACGACAAATTCTCTCCATTTTTATTTCTCCGGGAAAGTATTTTGCTTTTATTTTTGAAGGTACCTTGGATGAATACAGTATTCTTGTTCAGCAGTTTATTTTTTTCTTTGAGTATCATGATGATATTATTACGCTCTCATTATTTGCATTGTTTCTGCTGAGAGATCAGCTCTTATTTATATTTTATTGGTAATTCCTGGTAAATAAACATTTTTAATAAAAGTACTAATTTTTTCTAATATTAGATAAAACTCTGGGTAGATTGATTTTCTTGAGAAATGTTTTTCTTTCTATAGTGGGAATGGGGCTCAAGAGTAAGTTTGACTTTTGCAAATTTTAAGTTACATAAATCTGTCATCCATGATAGAAGTGGTTTATTTGTATTCTTACAGGAAGAGATCCAGAATAAAGAAAAATCTCAGCCTTGAGTACTACAACTATAAAATTGACTCTGTTTATTTTTCACATTTTATCCTTAATTTAAATCATTTACTTTTCTCTATGCTGTTTCTGCCACAATCTTCCAATTTCTGTCCACTAAAAGGGTCTTTGAATTAGACTCTGGTACTCCTATTTTTGCTTGTGGTTGTCTTCTACACTGCAGCAAGTTATCTCATTTTTATGCAAATATAAAATTATTTTTTCCTGTTTGAACATTTTTGATGAGTTTTGATTGCTTTTACTGTAAAGATTAAGCCCATTTACCTATTTTAGGAGGCAGTTTAATATCTAATTCCTCTTCATGTTTTTTCTTCTATTTTGATATTCTTCCTCTTACATTCCAAGCCCTAGCTATGTAGAAAATATTTTTTCTTTTTTTAATGTATTTTTTTTTTTAAGATTTGGGATCTCAGACTGGAGTATAGTGGGGCAATCATAGCTCACTGCAGCCTCTGGGCTCAAATGATTCTCTTGGCTCAGCCTCCTTAACAGCTGGGTCTACAGGCATGTGAGCTCATGCCCTGTTCTTTTTTGTTTTTGAATCCACGATGTTCTTACTTATCTCTAAGCTTTTGTATATCTTTCTCTTGCATAAAAATAAACCTCACCTCTCTTTTCTTCTAGTGTTCTATCTCATTTGTCCTATATTAGCTTCAGCATCACTCCATCTGAGAGGATTTTCATATAGAATCTCCATTCTAGGCACTTACATAGAAACATGCAGTTTTGTTATTAAAACATTAATCTCTGGAGGTAGAAACCATTGCTTCTTCGTACACTGTTATATCCAGCAGCTATCACAGTGTTTAAAACAATATCAAATTATTTAAAAAATAATGTTCCATAAGAGTACAATCTATCTTTGAAAAATAAGTATACATTTAAAAAGTCGAAACTAATATACATCTGAAAAAAGATGCTCTTGAAACTCTAAATATGTAATTTGAAGACTTGCTACTGCAAAAATTCATACAATATTTATATATGTTTAAATTTAGCAATTTAGAAAATTTTAATAAGACATAATTCATACAAAACATGGTGGTTCAAAACTCAAAATTAATTTTTATGTAACCTCAAAATTTCAAGAGCAAATTTTAATAAAGGAACATTCTCATTTAGAAAGTACAGAATAGTAGATTTTCATTCTATTTTATGACAAGCTTATTACCATAGTAGTAAAATTTTTATTTTTAGTGATGAGAAAATCAGGCAATATGTTATACATGTCCTTGAAGACAAGCTGCAAAATGTATAAGAATGCTTTTGGCTATTTATCAAACTTTTTATTTTTCTCTCAATTTTCATTTTGAGTAATTTATTGATTCCCCAATTTTTATCACTTCTTTTCTATGGTAGCCTGTGTTATTTTTTACTATCTAGAATAATTATGCATTTTATATACTAGTAAGTTTATTTTAAACAAGATCAATGAGAACATATTCAATGAAACACAGAACAAAATGAGTGAGTACATTTATTTTTTCAATTACAGCTTTCGTTGGCTGAAGAAATAAAATTCATATTATGTTTAGAAACAAATATGTTAGAGTTAGCAATTTATTTGTTCTAGGTTGTAGAAATAAACAAGTCAAAGAGTAGTAATAACTTCTTAGAATCAGCTGAAATTATGCCAATTATATAATGGTAGAAATATAAGTCAGTAGAAATACATAGTGCACTATTCAGTATGTGTTATTATGTGAATAAATTAATCCCCCCACAATAAACATTGAAATAAAATGTAATGATTCTGATCTTATGTTTTGATATTTATTTAGAATAAAAACTTATTTTTGTTGTTAAAAAGAAAATTAAGATAACTTATTTCTCTTTTCAAAATATTCTCTATTTTCAAAAATGGACTCATCCACCTGCTAGTATTTTTTCTCCTTTTTTATGAATCTTGATTAATGACATTTTCATCCAAATGTAACAAACTGGACTCTTCTCCTTCTCTCTCTCTTTTCTAATTAAATAAACCATTGATTTTTAAAATCCTACCATATAAATCTCAGATTAATTTATTCTTTTTCATCTCTTCTATTATCACTTCCATTCATTTCTTTCTATTTCTCTGTAACTTTTGTGATGAATTTTTACTGTAATATCCTGGAACTACTTTATCTATTTTTATTCACACTACTGCCACTGTTACCTTTTAAATCTTGTCACTTTTCTTGTAAAAACCTTTAAAGTCTCCACACCACCTTCAGGATAAAAGTCTTATCTCTTTAACATAGCCTGAGAAGTCTTTATTTGACTATTGTATAATCTGTTGCAAGTATGCTGATCAAGTTTACTCTAAAAGAGGTTTTTCACAGAAAAACAGATTTGTCTCCATATAATGAACATAAAGGAAGGCATGTTACTTCCTCTCATTATTGCCTCTCAAATCTGTTACCTTTGTTTCTGAGATTCAGTGATTTCACAGTCTAGTTTTCTGCTTCCAGATATAAATGGCAATACTTATAATATTAAGGAACTCTTTTAGACTATGCCTTGACTGGTTAGGTGTTTTTGTTTTGTTTTGTGTAGTTTTAAGTAAATAGTTGTGTGTAGTCTGAGTTCAGTGTATCAAATTAACACACAATGTCACAATGTTTGCATGACCACTGAATTGAATCTTCTTGTATATGTGTGCTTCTGAACTGCTAACTCATTTATCCCTAGTGTGTTCACCCAAAAAGTGAAAATTATTTATTGATGTATTTACATACTTATTCCTGAGGTTTATCCATTTTATGTGGGGCTCTACTTCATATTCATTAAATACACTTATCTTGCATGATAAGGCAACATAAGAAAAAAATTAGAAAATGGAATATTCTTGTATTTGACATTGGCTGACCAGACTGTGGTTTTAAGTTTTTCCTTCTGTTATAATACAGGGTATTCACATGCATGTACAAAAGAAACATGGTTACTCTATTTTGAATCAAATTTTCCACAAAAATAAAACTAAAGTATGTAAGGAAAAGTCGGAAAAGGAGAGTGTCCTTAGTTTATAAATCCTAAACTATTGCAGAAGATTTTTAAAAAATTTATAGTCACTTTTCATTTTATTAAAAATGTCTACATTGTCATTCACATTCTCTGATATAATAATAATTGACCCTGTTTATAATATATTATCACATCTGACATATTCTAAAGTTTATAAATTTGGGGGTGTATTTTCAGCATTAGATTAGTGAATTGCTACTATAGAGTAGAAAGAAGATTTTAACTTATAAGAAGAATATTAAAATAACAGTAAAACATTTGCTAAAGTTGTGGCAGAAATTCCAATCCACATAAACAGCAACCTGTTTCCAACTAAATTTACATAGTTTGGTTGCTATTTTATGTTACCAGCTGAAGTTGACTGGAGTCATATGGCAGTAGTGTATTTATAGCATTCAATTTTTTCGCCTGCCAATTTTTAGTTTATGCAACTACAGATGGATTTTTAAACAAATTTGGGATTTGCATCATTTCAGAGTTTTTAGAAAAAGAAGATTATCTACTGGATCTAGTAGATCTATAACACACTATTTCTAAGGTGCCATGGTAAATATTCTCCAAAGGCAGCTGCTAAAGATTTCTCTCCCCACTATGCTTAAAGGAGTTGGTTTCTAATTTTCTTATACCTGTATTGAATTTGCTTTGACCATTAAAATTGGTAGAAGTGACAGTTCACCTGTTGTTTGCCTAGCTCCTATGCGACCTCGTCACTTCCATTGGACAGCCACCTATATACCACTAGAGAAAAAGAGATGATGCAGAGGAAAATTAAAGTTCACAGCTGTCATCAACTTCCAGTCATATGAATGAGGTCTTCTTGGAAACCCAGCTCCAGTCAAGTTTCAAGTTGAATGCAGCTCCATGTATGGCCTGAGAATTAACCATTTAAGGCAGAACTACCCAGCTGATGCATGAATGAGTTCTCGACCTACAAAATCGTAGGGAATAATATATAATAGTTTGAACACTCTAAGTTGTGGGGAATTTTGCCATAGAAATCTGATACATACATAATAAGTGTTCACTTGAAATAAGACTTTGTTGTCTTTGCAACTCATAAACTGAATAAATTCTTTATGAAAAGCAATGTATATTCTCTCTTTGTAACTATGTATTACATTGTTCTTCTTTAAAGTATTTCCTTATTTCCTTTTTACTTTCTATTTGATTTTATTTTGTTCATACAATTTATTTCATCCTGAAGGATATACCTTAGTTTCCTTTATTAAATTTCTACCTGCATCTTTAAATTTAGACTCTATACTTCAATGATTATTTTCTTAATTCATCCCTCCTGAATGAATCCATACTTCATCAAACTTCTCTCTATTCTCAGAATGAGAATTATCACATTTTTGTGTTTTGCTTCATTTATTGCCATTGATTGCCCTGGCTAGAAAGTAAGGCCTACTTTTTGTTGTTGTTTTGTATTCTATTTCAAAAAGCAAGTGACCATTTTATAAAACTTTTTGAAGAGATTGATTTTTCCTCTTTTTTTGACAGCCTATAAGTGTACAAAATTATTAAAAGCAGTCTCTAAGCTGTAGGTGTTCTGCCAATATTGGAAGGATAAACAATTCTTAGAGACATAAACAGCATTTTTCAGGATACTTTTTCTGATCATTTTGTAAATTCTCCTCTGTAGGCAGCAACTGCATTCTTTCAACTCCTATTGAAAGAATTAAATTATACAAATGTGTTTATATGTATATACACATCACATATCTTTTTCATAAACTTAGGAAAGGCAAATGACTAAAAATTGATCTGTTACTGTCTCCTTTAGAGTTTTATATTTGTTTGTCTTACTTCTTTCATTCTTGCTTAGCCACTGGAACAATAAGATTTATTTATAATAATTATGTAATTGTGTGTCGGTGGATGATTAATAAGCAAGTACATATTAGTATCAAATGGGATAGTGTGCATAAAAGTGCTTTTTAAACAGCGAAGGAAATATATCGTAAAAGCATAATGATTGTGTTGTTACAAATGTAGCTATTTTTGTCTAAGAGTTACAAAGTTAAATTTTAATAAAACAAAAAGTTGACACTAAACTTCAGAAAAAAGATATTTTTAGGAACCGATTATGGAGGGAGATTATAATACATTAGAATCTATTAAAACCAGTAATTATGTTTCCCATGATAGAAATTATGGAACCAAGTAGACAAACTGGGGAATGGCTATATAAATACAGTCTGTGCTTCTATGTGTACGCAGGACAATATTCAAGGATAGTAAATCTCCAACTCTCAAAATCTGTATATACTGGATGTCTGTGACCAATTCTTTCTTCTTACCTTTTGTTTATCTACTTCTTACCTATTCTTAGAATTTGTATGACATTTTACATTTTATCCTAAATATTTAATTTGCTGACTATAGCAATGTTTTTTCGTGGGAATAAACTACCTAGTGTTAGAGGCAGATTTTCAAAATTTCAGTATCCATTCCATCAGATTTTCTTGGGGTGAAGCCCAGGAAGTGGTATTTTAAACTAGCTCCTTGAGTGATTACATGTACAAAAGTTTCATAATAATTATTCACGAAACTTTAGAGAAGAAAAAATTGTCAAGTAAATTCGGCTACCCTTATGTCACAGAAAAATTACAAAATGGAATTTGTCAAGATTAAATTTAAAAACAGAGTTTGTTGAAGATACAGGACAAAATTGTGTGTCTGTATTATTTACTTTTTACTGCGAGGTTGTTATATAGTCATGCTTAGTATTGCCAGGAGGGTTTATTTGTTTTCTGGTACATTTATGAGGAAGAGCTATACATTCTTTAGGGACATTGAATTAATATTGAATCATCAAAACTAATTAAAAAATTTGTATGGAGCCTTGATTACTACACGTACTAGAAATTAGGCTTTTTTGTTTTATTATGAATTTTTTAAATTTACTTATTTATTTCCTAAAACGTGTTCTAAAATTTTCATGTTGAAGGTTTTTCCAAAGTAATTAAATTAACATTGAAAATGATATTGGAAAACTTTATAGGAAAATGTATTTTTATATTTTCTTCCATTTTTTGAACAGAGATCATTTTATATATTTGTCAGTGTCACTCTAAAATCACCACCTCTATGTCACATTTTTTTACAATGCCTTATCTGAATCTCCTCAAAGAGTCCTTGAACATCGTACATTATAGCCTCTAAATGAAATGCTGTTTTCAACTTAATGTTGCATCAGTCAGTGTTCTGGCAAAGTTGACCTGTTGTAGTCAAAATTAAGGGAACCCACAAGGGATGGTCAAACACACTCTGATAAGAAATATCCAAATTTTTTTTTATCAAAATTTCCTCTCATTGTCACTTCATCTTGGATGGTAACAGGAGCTTTAGCACTGAGGGAGGTCTTCTCAGTAAGAGATGTAACCATAGAAAGAAGAGAAGGCCGGGGCAAAAGCAGTGGCCAGGTAGAAAGAAATGGAGGTGGAGAAATACTATTAGCTCTACCTCCTTCCTCCCTTTAATTTCATCCTTGTGCCTCCGCTTGGTCAAAACCAACCAGACATTAGAGGGTAAAAGGAAGCCTGGATAATAAGGTTCATAGAGGGGAAACTCCCAGAAAACAGAGAAGATCAGAGATTAACAGCAGGTAGAGTTGAGGGGCAAAAAATCTATGCTTATCCTTTGTTTACGTAGAAAGCAAATCAACTCAACAACCAAGAGAAAATGTAAACCTCTCATAAGCCTTTGTGTCATTTAAGGAGGATTTTAATTCAATCATTCCCAGTAGTTTTCAAGTAAAGAAGCAGGGAAAATCAGGAGATAATAAAAAATAATTAGTGCTGCAAACCCCACATCTGTCCTTTGTCTTAAAACCTAAGATGATAATCGCAGAGTCCTTCTAGCAGCATTCCATGTGCCCCTTACTTTTAGCCAGCCCTTGGTGTGTTGGAAAGTTTTACTTGGTGTTCTTTAACAGAACAAAAATAGCAAAAGGCAGCCCAGAAATTGTCTTGAATTCTAAGTATACTCTTACTTGTCTCCATTAGTCTCCTTGTAATCAAAACTATCACCTAGGCCAGGGCTTGGAGGATTTCTATTCTTGGCTCTTGAATTAACTGAAAGCCTTTGCTAATTCATTAGTTGAAAAACAGGGAATGTGTTGATTTGCAATAATTATCATAAATCACATCTGGAATTAACAGGTATGATTAGTGTCACCACTGTATAAGTTTATAATAGTCCACATCTAATCTCTCGGACCCATCAGATTTTGGCACTGGTCAAGTAGGATAATTAAATAGAAATGTGATAAGAATGAGCATCCTAGCAACATTCAGGCTTCTGCGCTAACATCTTCAATTTTCTCAGATATAGAATATGGCTTCGGTTATTATTTTAGTAAGGGGTGAGAGGTAGTTCTACTTTGCCTGGCCTACAAATTAGCCCTAACTATGTTTTGTGAGGTGCCTCTCATTACACGCACACACACACAAACACACACACACACGCACACATACACACACACACACACACACAGAGGGAGACAGAGAGAGAGAGAGCACTAAATCCATTAAATCATTCTGTGTTTTGAAGCTGAGGAAATAACTGCAGTATATGTCTGCAGTCTCACCAAAACCTTTGTGACTGAGATTAAGTACTGAGATTAAGACTCTCTCTGTCACCTAAATTCCTTTAGCCTCTCTCTAATTAAAAGACCTTAGTAGCATTTTGGTTTCCTAGGAAATACAAGATAGTATCAGTTCTGAGACAGAAGGATGTATTTCACTTTTCAGAGTAAAGAGAAAACTTAATGTATGGCCAACGTTCCCTTTTGTGGTAGCTTAGGCTAAAAGGAAGAATTAGAGTGTACATTTAGTGTTTGCATTGCAGAATTCATTCTCAAAGGAATCTGGCCGCTTCCTTAAGAGTATCTGTGTCTTTGAACTGATAGAGTATTGATGGGTATAGATTATTGTATCAATCAGGTTCCTAGTAGGTAACAGATGATACACTCAGAGATGTTAGTTGAGGAGAACTTCACGTAGGAACCACAAAATAATATTAACAAATTTATGAGAACCAGTAATGGATGGCGAGATCAGGGACTATCAAAAGTAGGAAGTCATTATTACCCCTAGGACCACAGGACCAAAGGCAGAGGGTGGTTTAACAGCAACTAATATGAGCTATAGTCACGAAAGTCATTTCCTACCAGGAGATATAGCTGAATGTGAAATAATCCAATCACCGAAAAAAGTACTTTCTGGAATAGGAAAGCTGAGAAAAGAGCTGACCTTTCTTCCTTCCGTTGACTTTTCTGCTGGTACCTCTGTTTGACCAACTTTAACCAAAAGACAGAAGGCAAGGAAACCCGGGTGATACATGACACCAGGAAAGTAGAGAATGGCAGAGTCTGAGTAGACAATGGATCTGGAGGACCAAAGAATGGGCAACATTAAAGTAAATCAATTATACGCGACCAAACTTTCCCTTAAGTGTGAGATGGAGAATCCATTGCGGTAGAAGCCATGATTTTGACAAACCTGTATAATTCACAGATACCCTAATTATAAGCCCTATAAAAGTAAAAAATAATAGAGCCAAGTTATTAAGAAATTTTGCAAACATGGGGGAACATGTATTTTTTTTTCTTTAGAGTTGTGAAGATTGAATAATGTCAGGTGAGGAAAATTCTGTTAACAAGAGTAAATACTACATGCTAGTGAGAATAAAATGTACAATGCTCTATATACAGAACAATTCTGTATACAACTTATTTTAATTTTAATTGAAATTCTGCGAGATTGCTATTGATGTCACAGATAAAATCTATGTTTCATTACAAAGGATTTATTTATTTTTAATAAGCACATGTTCTCAGTACCATCTCAGTTACAGAAAGGAAAAAAATCCAGGAACTGCCATTCCTTTCATTTTTACATAGCACTTAGTGGTGCAATGAGTTCATTGTAAGATACCCATTGTCCTTACTCAGAGATAATCAATTGTTCATTGTAAGATATCCATTGTCCTTACTCAGAGATAATCACTTTTATTGCACTACATCTTTATTATACTTTCTTGTTCCCTATATTTTAACAATAATTCTTCAGTTCATTTAAAAATTAAACTACTATGCCTGATGTTAATAATTCATCATAATTTATAATGTGAAAAGTTTCCGATCCTATCTAGATAATCGGGCATGCAAAATTTTATAAAATATGCTTAACAGTAATTAAATGTACAGATACAGATTCACATCTTCTACTAGAGCTGCTGTATGTAGGAGTGATTATGGAAGAACGAGGCATGAAGTGAAACAGAACAGATCTGGCATACACAATGATTCATGACTTGACTTGAAAGTAAGAAAAAACTTATAAATAATTCACTTTCCTTCTAAAAATAAGTGTTCACAGATTTTTACTGATGCCATTCGAAGTTCTCCATGTGAAAACATTATTATTTAAACTTAGAAGAAATATTTCCACAGGTGAAACAAGGGAAAACTGCAAAATGCCTTCTACTGTGTTTGGTTCCATGATCCAAATTGAATGATTACTTTTGAATCTTTGGATCTTTTGAAGCATAAATCTTTAATTGAGTTGTATAGGCTGGAAAATGGAAACCATTGAGGAAAATTGCCAAGCTCCTGGACTAAGCTATCCCTTAAATCAACATTTCCACAGCATTTCAAATTTTAGTTTTGGGATCACTCCTTAAGCATTTAGACTGTTTTCTTGTCAGTGCAGTGGACTTGGCTTTTCCACTAGAATTTTTCACAAATCTGTGGAATCACCAGTTTATACAAATGTGTGGCTTTGATTTTCTTATCAATCCATTCATTTTCAAAAGGAAATTAATGTATCACAATTAAAGAAATATATGAAAATTTATGATATTTGTTTATCAAATATATGTGTTTCTATAATACAGGGATCTTTTCTGCTTGAAAAGAGAACTTTTAAAGCTCTTGTAATCCACTTCCCTATTAGTCTTACTAATATAAACTCACAGGAACATCTGCCACCTTTAATATATTTCCGTGATGAGTTGCAGAAAAGTCAAGGTCCTGGTATCAGTTCCTGGTGAGGGCTTTGGTAGATGTTTCCTTATCAGGGAAGTTCTAACATATAGACTGGGAAATTTCCCCTAGAAGCATAGTCTCACAGCTCACTATCTAGCTCTCTCCTTCACTTACGGGAGCTTCTTTATTTTTATTTTTTTGACTTTTGTTTTAGGTTCGGGGCTACCTGTAAAGGTTTGTTACCTAGGTGAACTCGTGTCACAGGGCTTTGTTGTACAAATTATTTCATCACTCAGGTATTAAGCCCAGTACCCAATAGTGATCTTTTCTGCTCCTCTCTTGCCTCACACTTTCCACTCCCAAGTAGACCCCAGTGTCTATTGTTCCCTTTTTGTTACTACTCTGGTGCTAGGGACTCATCTTGCAGCCATTGACTTCCTTCAAAGCTAAATGCCTCTTGCACTGATCCCGGTCCTCCTAGAAGCAGACACCTATGTAGAACGGAACATGCAAGGATTTTTAAGGGAAAATATCTGCGTGAGAGTAAATGACAGCATGCTAGAATAGCAGGGAGAACCATCAGACATCCAACCAAGTCTGAGCTCAGAAAAAGGGAGTTAGGGTAGGTGGAGGTGTACTGGCTGCTTTGCAGTCTAAGGATTATTCAGGAAGGTCCATCAGGGTGTCTTCCAGCTGAAGTCAGTTGTGAGGACAGGAATAGGCCCTTCCTTGGTATCTTGCAACACTCATTGAGCAGCCATGTGGGAGTATGGCCTCAGTGCAGGTGGCTCTCAGAGGACAGCAGTTGAGCCTTGTGGTTAATTATACTCCCCAGAGTTGGAGATCTGGTGTGCATTCTTGTGGTGGCCGCACCTCTGTCACCTTGCCTTGACAGTGTACAGATGCTCCTGCTCCAAGCTGCTGTCTTGCAAATCTAAATGCCATGTGAATGAATCCCATTTGAAATCTAAGTAACATGCCTGTGCTTTGACTGCAAATAAGACTGAGGAGGAGGCTTCAAATTCATAAGCCACAAATTCCTCTAATACAGCAAGATTGTTAAAAAAAAAAGGTGTGGCAGACGAAAAACGTAATGGATGCTCCTCACAAAAAATAACATAATAAAAGTAACATAATAATATGAAACCATATTCTTTTCAGTTAAAGAAATTGTTTCTGTGCTGGCCAGTTTTTCAGAGATCAAGAAAGAGAAAAAGAGAGTGGAGGCAACTAACTTTTTTGTTAAGGATGTGACTCAGAAATTGCACACTTCGCTTTTGTTCAGTTCTATTGACCCAAATTTAATCACATGGACACAGACAGCTACAAGGGAGGCTGAAAGATGTTGTCATTGGCTGAAGGCAATGTACCCCAATAAAAATCAGAGTGAAAGACAGGAAGAAAGGGTGAATAGATATTTGAGAACACTAAATCCCTCATATATTTTGTGTATACCAACTGGTTACTGCAACCTTTAAATTCCATTTAAAAATAAACATAATCATGACCCTACACGGAAATTTATTTAACAATTTATTAAAATACATCATATCACTAGGTACAACCAAAACCTTCACAATTTTATAGACAAATACATCTATTTTAAGGGAGTTTTGAATGAAGTGGTGAACTATATATTTTTCAGTTCTGTGACGAGAGCACGCGCCAATTGCTATATTCTTTTAATGTATTTGTTTCTAATACCATGCTCTGTTATGTTTCTGCATGATGGCTGAAGTAATTTGAGAAAGAAAACATTTTCATACATTCTTATGCAACTTCAATTTAAAATTTATACAACAAATGAATTTTAAATCATTTGGAGTAATAAGGGAATATAGAGAATAAAATAGAAAAATAACTTTTGTTATAAGATATATTTTATATTTTCACCCATAGAAAAACTTATAGCCCAGATCTCATGTATATAATTATAGAAAACCTCTAATAAATAAAAGGTCTTTAGATGTAGCTTTAGATGACCTTAATTAATATTTATTTTACTGAGCTATTGTTCATTTTGTCTGTTATCTCTAATATGTTATTATTCTTTATATTGAGTTTGGACTACATTCTAATAAAAAATATGGCATACTCAAATAACTTAGTTCTTGTAAACATTCTCCTTTAACTTCTTTTAAAAATTTTACTGAAAAGTAAAAATTGAGAAATCAATGGTTGTCACATATAGATTGACTTAACTTTGCATTGCATTCAAGTACCTGAACTTGCTATCTTCACCTTGCCTGTGGGGTTGCTTGCCACCTAAGTGGAGGCTCAATTTTTTTTCCTTCTCAGGTGACAGGTGAATATATATGAGATTATCCCTTGCTATCCCTGAACTGTACTTGCTCAATTAATCTGACAGAATTTCTTTTTCAGCTTTTCTTCCCAATAAACTTTAATGATGCCATTAAAGTCGTGAGACTTAACAACAAGATTTTAAAAAATAATCCAACATAACCATGACCCTATATAAAACAAAGATAATAAATACTAATATTATACCAGTTAAAGAAAAGACAATTAACCAGGACAGAGTTCTATTCTAGAATTTCTTTCTTTTGAAGTTAGATATTGTGAAGCAATCTTGTGAGAGAAGTGGGGGAAGCTTAATAGGTCTGGAGTTAAAATGTACTTATATTTTTAAAATTTATATATCATTATATTGAATATTTGTATGAAATCTTCTCAGGTAACATATTATAAGGAGCCTATAATCCACAGATGTTGAATTTTTTGATTGGAGAGATAGGCTGTATTTCTCACATTCAAATTTTAAACTCTTAACTTTGTAGTTTGCTAATGCACTAAAACCCAGAGAAAAGTTATTTAGTTCTAACAGGATAATTTTCTGTGTTGACTGACCACATCAAGCAGTCATTTGATGAGGTTTCCCCTGGGAAGAGACATGGCCAAGAGTTAGATATCTCTCTTCAGCTAAGGAAAATATCAGAAAAGGTATAGGACAGTCAGTCTGGAATACTGCAGTATATGGGGGAATAAATCTATATAATTATAAAGGGAGACTGGAAGAGTATATCGCAAAATCAATGGCTGTCATCTTTAAGTGCTTAGACACAGATTTTTATAAGAAGTTCTGGAAGCAGAAACTGCAGAATTCTCATGGGCTTTTCTTCCTGGGGAAAAATATCAGTAAAAAGTTAGTGGGACAAATCACAGCGTCTGTCATTGCAGCTGATCTTGAGAACACAATTAATACTTGACTTTTTCTTCCTCTATTTTTATTTCTATTTTAGATTCCCATTATCCTCAGCTAGTACTTCTGTTGTCCTGGGTGTCTTATTTCATGCAAGAAACCCAAACCCTCATTCCTGAAGGATGTTAACCATTGCCAATTATGCAATTCTCAAGTTATAACTGCTGAAGTTGTCTATTTACTGTCAAAATCAGACAGTGGGGCATTAAGAGGTGCCCGAGTAATCACTTGGAAGAAAATGGATTCCACTCTGTGCCACCAAACTAATGCAACCATACCTTCTGATGATCATCAAGGAGTTTGGTTTTAAGGTGTTCAGATACAAATTCCAGCAACATTTCTGGTTTGTCTCCTTAAACTTGTAACTTCTCAACAGAGACACTTTGTATAATGAAAGAAAAAAATGAATACATTCAGATTTTAATTTTGCTATATATCAAACAAGAAACCAATCTGAAATTAAATAAAAAACTAGCCCCAAAATAAAAATTAGTACATCTAATAAAGAACTAACCATGCACAGAAACAGCGTATGTTTATTAATGGAGCAGTAAGTGTGTAAGTGTTTACTGAAGATAAAGGATGGTGAGTGAGTGGGGGGAGAGGAAAAGGTAGGACAGCAAAAGAGTCTAGAAGGATGACTTCTGGATAAAATGGAAATATAAATATTTTACTCACTCGATATTCTGTTTCAGATATATGTCAGTGTTTTTTTATTTTTAATTTTTGATTAGCAAGGTATATTTTGAGTGTTAAGCTATGGCCGATATCCTTATTAGCCAGAACCAAAGTTGTTATTTTTGCAGACATTTTGTCTGATGTCCCTAATGTTTGATATTATGTCTAGCTATCTGGCAATATCAGTTAAGTATCCTGGTAGATGATGCCACACGTGGACAATTAGTGCATCTCTAAAATGAAAGGCACAGAAAAAAAATTTTGTGTTCTAAAAGCGGTAAAATTCTCCATTATATCATAACATTCATTACGCAACATGATTTTTCTTTTAATTTTTGGAAGGCACATGAAAAGCAATCAAAAGAATAATTTACTAGGATAATGGTAAGGAAAGTGCTTTGGTGCATAAGCCCTGCTGTATTATTATTAGCACATCAACCAACTACAGAATATTCTGAAACCAAATAAGTGGTTCAAAGAATAGCTGATAATTTAGGGCACAGGTAAAGAGGATTTGTTGTTCTTGTTTAGTTTGATTGATTCATGTAATGAAGGTATTGTGCCTTTTAAATGGAGCACCCAAGAGCTATACATGCAAATTATTCTACATTGTAGAATATAATGAAAGCATTTACTGTGGATGTGTACCATAGGTTAGGTTACATTTATCATTCACCTGAATGGACATTGTCTAGCAACATTCAGCATTAGAAAGTCAACCACAGAAGAAAAGATAAAGGGACTGTTATTATGTTCATGACATATTTACACTGGTCATGTATCCATTATGTGCATAAAATTAAAATAATATTCATAAAAGTGAAAGCAGAATTAAACTTTGAAATGAGAAAAAGAGATTTTTTTAGTAAAAATATCCAGAAATGTATTTAAATATAAACTTTATTATATCCATAGATGAAAAAATCCCACAGCTATTAGTAGGAATGTAAATATGAAGACTGATAAATATTTCATCTTTTCAACCTTGCATGATGCCTGCATGGTTTTAAGGCAGCATCTGTAATGTCACTTTTCTGCTTTATCTGGATGAGAGATCCATCATGCTGGGCATGCAGTGTTACCACTTTTGTCCTCATTTTATGCAGCTTCCTTCCATTCGGTGAATACAACATTTTTTAATTCAATTTGTTTCTAGATTGAAGTTTAATATTTAATTTATTTATACTTTGATCACTTCATCCATTACTTATTGTCTAAAACTGATGTTATTAAACTATTATCTTTTTCTCATTTTCTTTGCAGACTGAAACTTACTCTTCTGCAAAATAATCATATTCATTTTCAGAGTAGCCATCTCAGGCATTTTCTGAAGAGTTCTCAGCTACAGTTTGGTGATGACATCTTTGTAGATGACATCCTTGTTGTCATACACGATGTACACAAATACAGATACATTTCTGCTTAATGAATAGTAAACCCAGTATAGTACGGATGTCAAAGAACTTCTTGCTCCCAGAAATGCTTTCTCTCCTTATGCACTCTAGCTGCAGTAATTGACAAAGGGATTATCTCTTCCGTGGAGATGGCAAGAGCTGTAGCAACTCCCCCATCACCAACACCAACAGGAAGCCGCGCAGAAAGCCCCATGTAGGACAGGGCATAATTTCGGTCACTACTTTCCCTTTCTGTCAGTGGGCAGATGATCAGTGTCAGCTACTGGCTAGAGTGCTCCCAGCCTCCAAGTTTAAATTGACTTTTGGGTCGGGAATTGTAGAGCCAGTTGGTGATCTTCAATAAATGGCTGAAGTGAAGTAAAAGCCTGATTGGGCTGGATGTCCAGAGAACAAGAAGCAAACCTGCTTCCTTAGAAGTTGGGCTCTATATTGGAGCTTAACATTTGTATGGAAGTTAGACGGATAAAAGGTCAAGCGAGGTTTCCTTTTGTCTTCCCATAAAATGTATTATAGTATGTTTGTATACAGGACTAATGTAACTGAGGGAAAACAGTAATAATTTATTAGAGAAAAGAGATACATTGGAGAGCAAAGTCTCTGAACGTATCAGAACGATGAGATCAAGGTTGAGATAGCAGGAGTTGGATTTGGGAATGTATGAGCCCAGTTTATCCACAGTAAAGGGAACTGGCCAAGCAGTTAATAAAGGTCCCAGTGGAATTTTGTTTTCAATATGGAATTTTTTCCTGACTATCCTTTAATGTCTGACACTTCTTGGATTTGTGTTCCAATTACAAGGATAATGTTTAATTGCTACAAGTTATTTAAGTGTACTTTATTGAAAGGAAAGGCTGCCTACTGGCTGCAGGGATGTGGGTGGAGTATCTCGACCAGAGATCTCACTGAATGGGGTGCTGGTTGAATGTAAGCCAGCTGTCTGCCCTTCCACTCTTCCCCTACAGGATGCACACGCACTGGCAAAGTCTATTGTCATTGGCAATATGCTGGCAATCTTCTTAGCATATTGTTTAATATCATTAGATATGACGGGTCCTGTTTCAGTGTGGAGCCTAATTTACTACTTTACCAAGATAGAGGAAATAGGAGAAAATTTCTGACATTCTCACCCTCTATCAGTGTATTTCCCTCAGTACATTTTTACCTTAGCACATTGTCTCTCTACTGTTGTGTGAAAGACCTCGACTTCTGCATTTCAGAATTGAGACTTACCTAGGAGGCTTTTATCTTGAAAACTTATTTCTCCAGTTGTCAACTTTTAGCTTGCTAAACATGATTTAAATTGTTTTGAATGTAAAGATTGGTAATAAGTTTGAGGAGAGATTGTTTCCTCTTTTAAAATCTTGCTATAGGCTTTTTGTCCTTTATTTTTTAACCCTTTCTGCTGAATGTATTTTTGATTGTGCTTTGTTTCATGACTCGCTTTAAATTTATTGAGTTTGATCACACTCTGCTGTTCTTCTTGCTTGTTTGTTTGATTTTTTTGCCTATTTTGTTTCTACATCTCAAATATTGGAACATGTTATAAGACGGTCATTTTTTTTGTCTAGAAAATAAGATATAAAATGGACATGCCTTTTACATTTCTATGAATTTTTAAAATTAAAAGAAAGCTATGTTTTGGGTTTTGATTTTTTAAAACACATTTTTAAAAGCTCAGTTTATTCTTTGTATATTTTCTCCTTTTTGTGTGTAAAATAGTTTCTAAGAAGTTTTTCTCAAACGAAGCAATTCTTACCTTTTATTCTCAACAAATGCTAAAAATGGTAAGTGTCCCTAGAGTCAGTAGAAGCTTCGCTTGTGTAAACTGCCCAATCAGGTCCCATGGGTAGAATTTGACAGCTGTATAATGCCACACTGCAAATTTCTCCACAGCTGAGCACAGGAAGAAATTCCATTTGAAGATTTGAAAGTTCAGGAGAAACTTCACTGAGGAGAAGAAAATGTCACACATTAGAATATATGCAGGCTTTTGAAACTGTTTTTATATTTTCTATGAAATATATCAAGGATCATGGATAGTTAAGGCCTTAATTTTACATTACAAAACATGCACTGTTACTATAATATTCTGATTTAGTAACTGAAATAAGTCATGGTCTAAATAACAAATTTTTGATAGTCAGAAATTGATAACCTAAGTTAATACCTTTCATTTTGTATATTAATATAGAATTTTATATCTTAGAATGAACACTAAGATAATGTGCACATTTTGATTTTAGAACAAAAGCTTCTGTGAATGTGCCTTTCTGGAATAAACTCTCAGCATGGAACACTCAATACTTTATTTGGCAGTACTGAAAACAATTATATTGTGCTTTCATTTTTTAAATGTGAGCCAGGCAGTACTCTAGACACTAGCGGTCAACAATAATAGGTAAGGCTTCTGCTGTAGGATTTTGGTTTACTTTAGTCTATTTTAAGGGAAGCCAGAAATGAGACAATGTTTTGAAATAATAGTCTATGTGAAATACATAGGAAAAATGGAACGTTCTTAAATATCAGATAAACCTAGATTTAAATTGTAGCTCTACCAGTTCCAAATATAATAATTATACCTATTAAATAATGTTATCATTAAAATAAAACAAGATACTTCTTTTTGTGCTAAACAAATAGTAAGCATTCAATATACTGTATCTGTTATTTTAGTATAAGCATTATAGCTGTAATTTTCCAGAGTTACGAACAACGCGCTATGAGAGTACAGAAAAAGTATCCTTGTAGTTATCTTGGAAAGCTTCAAGATTAAGTATATTTTGAGATTTAAAAAAAAATAATAAAAATTTTCAAGCTTTCGAGTGTATAGTTTTTCTAAAAATTGTGATAGTCTAAGAAAGATCATAGTGGTATTAAAGAGCTGGACATATTATTTAAGGAATTATGTATTCTCTTTATGACTGTAATTAGCATGTGTTCAATGTGTCAAAGGTGCCCAGCAATAAGGTAGGAAAGTTAGTCAGAATTTACATCTAAATTATGTTAAATTTAAGTGACATCATTACTATTATAGCAAACCTCAGATTTTTTCACCAGTGTAAAAGTGGTCTTGAACGCCTACTTAGCCACACTGATTTTGAAAGACTGTTGTAAATACTTGAAAAATTCCACAGCATTGCTATATTTCTTGGTTAAAAATAGTCTCAATATTAAAATAGTTTGGTATTGAAAAAACAAAAATGAAAGAGGAAGAATTACAGATCATGTAGGGAAACAATAAAAGTTTGATATTTATATTAAAAATAGATTAAAGGCTTCTCAATATCTACGTCAGGTTGAAATAAAATATGAAAAAAAGAAGAAGATTTCAGCAAATGATAAATCCAAAGATTTAAAGAAAAATGACTCTGTAATCACTTTCCTGTGAAATTATAAAATTTGAATTTTAATCATTATTGATATCATAGAAAAGCCATATGCATGGATCATGTGTTTAAGGTGATATAGACAGGATTCAAAGCCTTAGTCATCAAGAGATCAACTAATAATAATACATACATGAAACTAACATCTACTAATAAGTTATGTTAGAAATCTATTTGACAAGAACAAAGAGAATAATACTAATCTAAGTTGGCAAAGTTTGAAAAGAAAGTAAATATTTGGGTTGCCTTCTGTTGGCATTATATGTTTGACATATCAATGGTTTCTTTAGAGAATACTCAGCTTTAAGGGACATTGGGGCAGTTTTGACTCCCAAATTTTAGCAAACCTGGGACAACTGTTGATGATATGTTGTTTCTCAAATGTAAGAGAAGATTTTTTAGGCTTTAATTCCTGACTCACCTTGTTGAGTAAATTTTGCAGAGCAGTTCATGGACACCGAGATTGAGTACTGTAATAATGGAATTAAAATAATTCTATTAGTCATTTCAGCTAAAGACATGGTTATCCAGATACTTTGGAGCAAGTGTCATTTTGACTGTGTCTTGTGCCCTAAAGCTGACCTGTAAAATTAAGTTACAATGTTCGAGCCCTAAGAGATTTTTTCCTTCCCCTGAGGACAGTCTTCTTGTCACCATCTTGCTAAGAGAGAACAAGTTTCTTGTACACCCAAGAGAGAAAGCTGATGAGTTTTTGCAGGAGGAGGAAGTAAGTCCAGATTAGTCTCTTCTTTCTGTTGCCTGAAAAAGAGTAGGGGTATAAGAGAGAGAGAGTGAGAAGAGAAGGTGTGAAAGTGTGGAATTGAGGGAGTGAAAGAGAGAAGATGTAAGAGTGGAAGCAAGAGAGTTTAAGAAAGGATTTAGGAACAAAGAAGTGTGAAGGTGAAAGTGTCAGAATAGCTGAAAGAAAGAAAAATACTAAATGAGTAAAACAGAGAGAAATAGGTTAAGAGCATGCTAGAGTTGAGTAGGAGAAAATGAGTGAAAGAAGACAAAGAAGGAGGTCTGAGCAAGAACAGAAAGTGTACAAGAGCAAAGAGAATACTTAAAGATGTGAAGTGAGTCAGCTTGCCAGTGAAAGGCAGTGTGTATGAGAAAGGAATTGAAAAGGCTGAGTGTAAGAGCAAGTGAGAAAGAGGGAGAAAGAGAGTTGGAGAAAAACAAAATGGGATATGTATGTTAGAGATAAAAAGTGAGTGTGAGAGAAAATGAGAATGTGTTGGAGAATGTGAGAGACCAGGAGAAATTTATATTTGCTTATGGAGAACAAATACTTTGAGTCTACTTGGAATTTTCTTGCACTGATGGAAATGTGCTGAATGATGACCACCTCCAGTAGCTAACACAGCCCTGTCAATCTGTGTGAGGGGAAGAGTTACAAGGTTAAAGTCAGGGTTAGTACAAAATATTACTCTCTGGATAGAGGAGGAAGTCTAATAGCTTTCCTCTTTCTAATAAGCCTAAATATACTCACTTCTGTCATTCTTTTTTCCTGGATAACTCATTGTGAAAGTTGCACATACCAAGATGAAGTCACTAGTCAGATCCAGACAAATTGGGACTGAGAAAGTATGAAGAAAATAAACTCATGTTTACATGTTTATGTGCCTGAGATTTAGCAAAATAAAAGGTCAAAGACATTTACAAATTACCCATCTCCACCAATAAATTTATTATAACTCTGGCTTTGAGCCTCTAGAACCAATGAACTCTGTCTAAGCAGCTTACTTTAATTTCTTTCTTTTGATAACTAAAGCTTCTGTTTACCCTTCTCTCAGCAGAAGCACCTGTGGCTTGCCATGGCCATTCATGCCAGATTGTAATCCTACATTTTTATTCGCTAATAAATTTAACGTATTTGGAAATATTTTTTTCTCTGATGTGTTTTTTAGGGCAGATGTAATCCAGTGTTAGAAGCAGTTCTGCAGTAAGAATACCTCTGCTTATGTTGTAGGAAAAATTGAGTTCTTGTCACAGGACCAGAAAAGGTTAGGCACTCTGACACTTGAAGGGAGAGGGATTACAGAATTTATTGGGCAAAAAGGAAAAAGACTCTCAGCAAAGTGAGAGGGGTTCCTGTTAATAGGCCCCCATCTCACAGATTGAATCTCAACCACCCGGGAACAGGAGAGGATAAGCTCTTTCCCCCTGCAAAGGGCACAGATTTCCCATGGCCCCACCCATCCTCCCAGTGTGCAGGCCAGTTGGAAATTCTCTGGGAACATTCCACCTTATCTGCCTCCTGCATCTATCACTTACAGATACTTGAGCAACACTATCAGTTTTTAATGCCACCATTCTCAATTAGCTCCTGCTGTGGAGTAATAAAAAGATAAAAATGGTGGAAGTTCCCTTGGATTCCTTTCTAACACCACATACAAAAATTAACTCAAGATGAATTAAAGACTTAACTATAAACCCGAAACTATAAAAACTCTAGAACAAAACCTAGGCAATGCCATAGGCACAGGCAAAGATTTCATGATGAAGACAACAAAAGCAATTGCAACAATAGCAAAAATTGACAATTTGGATCTAATTAAACTAAAAAGCTTCTGCACACCAAAAAAAAACTCTAATGAAACTAAACAGCTTCTGCAAACCAAAAAAAAAAAAAAAAAAAAAAAAAAAAACTATCAAAAGAGTAAACACACAAAGTACAGAATGGGATAAAATTTTGCAATATTAGACAAAGGTCTAATATCCAGCATCTATAAGAACTTAAACAAATTTACAAGAAAAAAACAACCCCATTAAAAAGTAGGCAAAAGACATGAACCAACACTTCTCAAAAGAAGAATATATGCTACTAACAAACATATGAAAAAGGCTCAACATCACTGATCATTAGAGAAATACAAATCAAAACTACAATGAGATACCATCTCACACCATTCAGAAGAGTTATTAAAAAATGAAAAACAACAGATGCTGGTAAGGTGGTGGAGAAAAGAGAACACTTTACATTGTTGGTGGGAGTGTAAATTAATTCAACTATTGTGGAAGACAGCGTGGCAATTCCTCAAAGACCTAGAGGCAGAAATACCATTTGACCCAGCAATCCCGTTACTGGGTATATACCCAAAGGAATATATAAAGACACATGCACACATATGTTTACTGCAACACTGTTCACAAGAGCAAAGACATGGAATCAACCCAAATGCCCATCAGTGATAGAATGGATAAAGAAATATGGTACATATACAACATGGAACACTATGCAGGCATAAAACTAAATGAGATCATGTTTTTTTGCCAGGGACATTGATGGAGCTGGAGACCATTATCCTTAGCAAAAAACCCAGGATCAGAAAACCAAATTCCATGTATTGTCACTTATAAGTGTGAGCTGAATGGTGAGAATATGTGGACATTTCATGGGGAATAACACACACTGGGGCCTGTCAAGTACTGAGGGGTGAGAGGAGGGATAACATCAGGAAGAATAGCTGTTGAATGTTGGATTTAATACCTGGGTGATGGGATTATCTGTGCAGCAAACCTCCATGCCATACATTTACCTATTTAACAAACCTACACATCCTGCACATTTACCCCTTTTATTTCAGTTAAAAGTTGGAAAAAAAAATGGTGGGAATTTCCAATGAGTCTTTAACTGTTTTTGTTTTATAGTCTATTCCTTTCTACCTTGGCCCTCTTCAAGACACCCCCTCTGTTTTGTTTGTCAATTATCACCTCATCCACTTCTTGGGATGTAATTTTCTGAAAAAAAAATATGATGGTAGGTTTTCTTTTTCCTGACAGGGAAAAATAATTTCAGGATTTGAGCAACCAAACTGTTCACTCAATTTTGGAGTCACCTGACTCCCCAGATTTCCACATTTGATATGCCATTTCCTTTTCAGAAAACAGAAATGATGCCACACTTACACTACTGAATCAAATACTTGCCTATGAGCAAAATTATCAATAAATAGTGGCAATATTTATAGTGCATCTCCTACTGAAATCCTGATTGCTCCATCAAAACTCCTGCCTAACATTAAACAACATTCACTTAACCAGATGGCATTTCAAGGTACTAAACTTATTATAGACAAACATAAAAATCAAGGCCTTATTATTCTATGTACTAGTCCTTGTAATACCCTGATTTTACCTATTTTAATAAAGCAAGCAACCATGGGTGGAGGTTTGTTCAAGACTTACAAGCAATAAACTATATTGTTATTACAACACATCTAGTGTCTCCGAATACCCATACATTATTAAACTCAATGCCCATTGAGAGCAGGCATTTCATAATCATTGATCTGCACATTCTTCGTTATTTCAGTAGATCAACCCATCCAAAAACTTTTTGCTTTTACCTGGGAAAGCCAGAAATACACTTCAATAGTAATGTCCTAGGGATTTATTTAAAGTCCTTCCTATTTATGTCAAATAGTAAGGGCAGACTTGGAGGATGTGTTTTGTTTCCCTGAGGCTCCACTTTACTACAATATGTAGATAACCTCCATCTTTGCTCTCCTTTACAGGTATCCTGTGAAAAAGACAGTGTGTATATCTATTAAAACAACTGGCTGTTAAAGGTCATTAAGTCACTAAAAATCATCATCATCATAATAATTGTACCCAGTAAAACCTCAGGTAAAATATTTAGGCCATTTGGTTTCAGAAAATTGATGTCATTTAGATCTAGAAAAGATTCAAAGAGTTTTTCACTTTGTCAAAATAAAAAAGCCAACTTGTTGGTTTCTTAAACTTGCCGGTTATTGTCATAACTGAATGTGTAACTTTTCTCTTCTGGTCGAATCACTGTTTGCTTTACTTAAAGTTACCAAATGTGACCTTTTTATTTGGACAGAATCCGAAGAGCAAAAATTTCTCCTTTAACTAGTTAAAGGAGAAATTGGTAAATATTCCAGTTCTAGTTAATCCTGATTATAAAATCCCTTTTCCCTGTTTGTATATGAAAATAAAGAAAATACTTTTGGGGTTTTAAACCAAAAGCATGAAGGCCAATTCTGTTCTCTAAGATGCTATAGTTGACAATTGGGTTCCACTGCATGAAGATTTTTGCTCCACCTAAGAGCAGTTCCTGCTACAGCCATATTAGTCAAAGCAACTGAAGAGATTGTTATGGGATACCCCCAACTGTATTTGTTTCTCATGCTGGGGAAGCTTACTCAACCTCTTTCTCACATCACACTTAACAGTTTTCTGCCAGGCAACTTACTTCCAATGAGCTTTTCCTAAGAGCTACATCTTTTTATTTCTCTAATGCTGCAATAGCCTTAACTCTACAACTCTCCTGCCCTTTCTTTCAGATGAGACACCACATGCCTGCTTAACTCTGATCTTTTAACTCAATGGGAGAATCTACAGGGAAATTCCCTGGACAACGCTGCATTGTCTTTGTTTACACATGGCTCATATTTAAAGAATGATTCTGGTAAGTATTGTCAGGCTATGCAATGACTACTTCCTTTGAGATTGTGGAAGCAGCTCTTTTGTCTTTAGCCACTTCAGCCCAGCAGGCAGAGCTATTTGTCCTTGCTTGAGTTTATCTCCTTGCATAAGGAAAAACTGTGAATGTTTTTACAGGGAGTAGATAAACTTCTGGAATTGTTCATGATTTTGGAATTCTGTAGATTCAAGTAAATTTCCTCACTTCCAATGGGGACAAAATGAAGAATGACCCTTATATAAAATAATTATTAGATTCTATGAAGTTACTTGCTGCTCTAGCCATTATCAAAGTTCCAGGCCACTTGAAACTAGATACTCTGGAAACTAGAGAAATTAACTTGCTGATAATGCAGCAACAGATGCTGCCCTTATAGGTCCTAGCAATCAAATCTCTGCCATGTTTCTCCTAGAGAGACTCCCAATGACAATACTAAAACAATTACTAAAGGTGCACAGAATTGAGCATCAGAAGCTGAAAAACAAATTTAGATAAAGAGTGGCAGTTGATTGAGTGATAAAGAGGAATTCTGGTTTTGGAATGATTAAAAAAAAAAAAACCTGTTTTGTTAGACTCCATGAAATGTTCCTCATTAACTAACATAGATAATATAACTTATTGGGCTACAGAAAAGATTATCAATTTTATGCAGTAATACTGGTGAGGCAACATCAATAAAGTGGCCAAAAATGCTTATTTAGCCTGCCCCACCTGTCCTATATTTAATCCTAGAAGGCCAGTGACACAACCCATGAGCATTTTAATCTACAAGATGAGCCATTTGAGGTTGGCAAATGGATTTTTATATAGCTTACTTCCTCGCATGGATACAAATATGTTTTTTCTTCATCTGTGTGTTCTCCCATTGAGTTGAAGCATTCTTCTACAGATGAGCCAATATCTCAGCAGTGACTAAAGTCCTTTTATAAAAGAGAATCCCTACCTGAGGAATACCCCTGGAGCTCCACAGTGACTCATTTTACTGAATAAGTTATAAAACAAGTGTGTGCTATCTGGCTAATCTTACAGCAATTCCCGTGAGCTTATTGTCTCCAATCCTTTGGACTAGGTACATGAACTAATAGTACTCTAAAGACATAATTGAAAACATTTATGGAAACCTCACACTTGACATAAACAAAAGTCCTTAGTGCTTCTGAATTTAAGAGAGATTTCTTTGCATTACATAATCTCTCACCATTCCAGATAATTACTGGACAACCTATACATTTAGCCTAAACTTATTTTGACACAAAATTAATAAAAGGTGAAATTATTTAATATTGTGAAAGTATAATCAAGGCAATGGATGAAAAATATACTCTGGCAGAAAAATCCTTCCACAGTGCAACCCCTGGAGACCTGAAATGCCATAACATACAATCAGGAAATTTTGTCTGATGGAAACATTTACAAAAGGACTTACTCCAACCTCAATGGAAAGGCTCCTACAAGGACCTGTTGACTAGCCCCTGTGCTACTAAACTTAAAGTAATTGATTCCTGGATACATGTATCTCATCTACAGAAAACATCAGCTTCTTTGTGGACCTGCATTCCTGTCAACAAATTGAAATTAAAAATGCCTGGGATTTGAAGAAGATAGCATCTGAATAGACGACTTTTCCCAAGATGGACCAGGCCTGTATATCTTTTTCTAATTTCTGATTCTCATTTATTTTATATCCCTCTCCCCTAAAAGGAAAATGCCCTTATTGACATTTTCCAGTCTGTCACCACCAGGAATTCTTAATAATTTTTGGATGTGCCATCAGAAACTTCAACACGTTTATGACTCTAATAACTCCCTACTTCAACCTATAACAGATTTCACTAAGATCTCGTCTCAAACCACCTGTAAAAATTGCACTGTTGTACCCTTCTATTGAAGGCTTCTGTTGAAGGCTTCTGTTGAAGGCTTCTGATGAAGCTTCTGTTGAAGCTTCCTCATTTACCCTTAACTCCTCTTCTTTGCCTTACCTTGTTAGTGGCCTCCTAATTCTGCCTCGGGGATTTTCAATAAATTGTTACTTCTAAATTGTTCATTCAGACTCCCTAACATTTGTAGAAAAATTATTGTAACTGATTTAAGGATGAGGGGTTATTATAGCTTACAGTGATACAATTGGCCCTGGTTCAATTCTACCTTATACAGAAAAATCACAGATGAAAGAAGTGTCTGAGCTCCTATTGGGTATATTTACTTTTGTGTGTGACACATCTCAGAATGTGCCCCCAAATGTGTATGCATTTAAAGGCCAATGAGTGTTGGCATATTTGTGATACATAATTGACAACTGACATCTGAAACCAATCACTGGAATAACCAATGGATTAGCTCCCTCTCAGTACATCAAAGGGTCAAACATGAGTAACCTGGTGAGTTGTGGGCCTCTGGATTTGCCAGATCTTTTGTATCATGGTATGGTGTAGCCACTAATGAATAAATAAGAAATTTATCTCCTACCCTAGGAATTCTTGCAGACTCTGCTGTGATGGCTATTGCTTTGTAACAGCATTTGTTAGCTTCTACTGTAAGGGTAGTCTTAGATAACAGGATTGCTCTTGATCATTTGTTAGCTGAGTAAAATAGTACCTGTGCTAATGCAACATGCTGTACCTGGATAAATTCCTCTGGGAAAGTTGAGGCTCAGTTATATCATATAAAAGAATAAGCCATCTGAATATAAAAAGTCTTACCCAGTTCCTCTTCGTCATTTGATCTGTTCAGTTGGTTGCCTGTAAATCTAGGTTCATGGCTCAAAACCATAATGCAAACTGGAATTGTAATATTGCTATTATATTTGCTTTATATTTTTCTTTTTAAAATTTTTGCCTGTTTCCTGTTAAATCTCTTCAGAAATTCAACTCCTGAAAAAATAATTTTGGCCCAGTGCTTTGAGATGATAGTGCCATGTAAGAGTAATCAAACTTAATGATGCAATCTACATTAACTAAGACTGAGAGCTTCTCTTTCTGTATTCATTGTTGCTCAAAAGTGATTAAAAGGGTCTTGACACTGACTTTCAACTATTCATTATCTTTCCTGATGTGGACCCGACCAATTAACTAGGACAGGTCCATTCTGGCACCAAGGGGCACTCACAACCTGATTACAACATGAATTAATAGGATGCTCTTGAAGAAATACCTAGACCAAAAGAGGGAAATGTGAAAGTTGCAGCTATCAACTTGAAGTCATTAGTCAAACCCACACAAATTGTGGCTGGGAGAACATGAAGGAGAAAACCTCATACTTACCTGTTTGAGATGAAAGAAAAAAATATCTTGAAAATGGCCCCACAAGAAGTCCCTTCATGTTCTTCATGTTCTCCCACTTTTCATGGCTTGCAGGTTATGTGCACACTTCTGCACATATTTCTGTGACAAGGTTTATGACTAGACATTCTTTAGGGCTTCAGCAATTCAGATAAGATGCTCCAGAAAATAACATTTGTCCTGTAACAGCATCTCCACCAATCAACTGATGACAATTCTGGCTTTGAGCATCTGGGACTAATGAACTCTGTTTGTCAGCAGGTTATGTGAACTTCTCCCTTTCGCCAATAAAAGCTTCACCTATACTCTTCCCTTGAAGGACGCACCTGTAACGTGCCAAAATCATGCTTCTATAATATAAACTTTTACAAAGATTCCCAAATGTATTCAACATATTTGGTAATATTTTTCTCTGATTTTTAGGTGGATATTATTGAAAACCAAAATTCAAAGAGAAATAAACTCTTGTCTATATAAATTCAATTTCTAACTCTACAGGTGGATGTTGCCACCAAATTTACTCTTAATTTACTTTATCCTTCTGTTTTGAGTTTCTTGGTAGCAGATGATGATAATTAAGACAGGTGAAACTCATAATGTCTGAAAATGAGCCAGTTTTTTGCTGAAATATCTGTGTGGAAGTAGTATAGAAGCAAAACAAACTGGTTGAATATCTAATCACAAAAATGATAATACAATCCCTTATATAATTGTGGCATCAACAATTATGCCTAATTCCCTTATTATGTTGATTGTGTCATACCTACCCTTGTTGTATTTAGTTGTGTGAGAGAGTACTCTTGGAAGGATAGTAAATATTAATTGGTATAATAATTAATTGAAATATTTAATTATAAAGTTTCATTGCATTTAATGATTCCCAACTCTATATGATTTTCTAGCTTTGTTATTGCTCTGATATTTTTTAATGTTAAATATATGGCTTAGCATTGGTGAGATATCAAGTGTTTTTTCCTTCTGGAAGATAGATTTAAAATTTTAAGTATAAGCATTGTTAATTTATGAAATATCATAACTACCAGGAAAATGGCTCCAAAATTAGAAAAAGAAATGAAGATATTACTGAAGTAAACTGTTATGCTAGAAACAGAATTGAGGCTGATATGTGATCAAAATTAAAATATAATACAGTTTGCTAGTATAAATGTCAATGATATTTGTGAAAACTAAATTAGATTTATTCCTTTAAATATCTTAATGTTGTGGGATTTTACTTAACTTAAGAATCCTGGCTGGGAATTTTTTTCTTTTTTGCTTTTTTACTAAAATGTACTTATTATTTCACTGGGAAAAAGTGTACATTAATATAGCAAACATTGTGCTCTAAAGCTGCTAAATAACGATTTCAAACTACTGTGTGAATAGGGGAAAATGTGTTTCCCTATTAATCACCCTTAAGTTATAAAGAAAGATATTTTATATATTTCCATTGATATGACAATCAATGGGAGTATTTCCTAATGTTTTAATTGAACACCTTTTGTTCAATTAAAAGGAGACAAAAAGGTATCTGACTCTGTAAGATTTCAAGGTAAGGAGGCTACCTTCTGTGCAGAATAGACTTTTCTATAGATATTTTAAGGATCCTCATTAGGGAGTGCACTTGAGAACAATACCTACAAAGGTGTAAGAGACACAAGACAGGGCAGAGGAAGAAGGTGAACTCTGATGCCCTTATGCCAGCCATGCCAACCAATCTAATAAGGAGTTGACCTCTCAGGCATTACCTCAAATGAGCCACAGGGATTTGGCATTTGTGTGTTTGTATCAGCAAGTCCCTGGATGCAAGCTGCTCCCAGGTAAAGGGACTAACCTTGGGAAAGGTATTCCCTTTGGTCAGGGCAATTTCTGGGGAAATTGCCTTGATCCTTCAATATCTAAAATGATTTTTAAGAATTAAAATGATTTAAGTATACTTTTATTTGATATTATTGTCTTGTAGTGAATACAACTCCTCTTAAGTGTTTTCCAGGAGTCTTATCCTGGGATACGCTTTGGTGATAAAGAGATGACTCAGGCATTGTGATTTTTGCTCTCAAGAAAGAATGCTGTAAGAAGAAATGTTATGCTTCTATGCAAATAAGTGCAATAAAAATGGGCTTAAATGAGTAATTTCAGCCACAGAGATGACTTTCCTCCTTGAGGCACATGGCAAAATCTGGAGACATATTTGCTTGTTGAAATTTGATGGGATGCTACTACCCTGCTAGAGATCAGAGTCCTGAGATGTGGCTAACCGTCTTCAGTGAGCGATCCCTCCAAACCGCTCAATCAACAGTCCCTCAAAATAAAATTTTTCTAAACCCAAATGTCAGTAGCGCTAACGTTGAAAACCCTGACCTAGATTCTTTGACTAAAGTATGTATTGGACACAGTAAAATAGACAGAAATATTGAGTTTTGTTTAAAAATGACTAATAGAAGAAGTAATAGAAAGGTGTTCTTTATGTGGGGAAGGTGGGGGATAGAATTCCAGGTATAGCAATAAGGACAAAGATGCATGAAATAGTCAATGTGTCTGGAATGCTGTGAGCAGAAGAGTAGTTCAGGTTGATGTCATAGGCTTATTCAACGCCAGAGAAATAAATTTAGATTTCATTCTAAGTGTTGAACAAAGGTATGGGTTGGTTTAATGCTAGTTGGCCTGCTTTCCTTAACCTAGTAATCTCTATGCACACAACATTTGCCTTCTTTTATTGGATGTTCTCTTATCTCCTTTATTTTTATTTTTTTTTAAGCAAAAGCAAGTTTCTTAGAGAAGTAAAGAAACAACAAAAACAAAAAATGACTACTCCATAGAACGAGCAGTAATGAGGGCTGCAGGTTGGGATGATGATCTCTTATCTATCGCATTCACCCTACTCCCTGGCTTCTGATTAGGCATTGGACATTTCCATTCTGGAGTAGAGTCTGGTATGATGTCTCTTTTATAGCTCCTCAGATCTGAAATGGATAGAAGAAGAAAGAAAATTATTGACAAGTCAGAAACATTCAATGTAAGAGAAATTAACCAGTTACTTGTGGGTTAGTGTCATAACTCTCTTATGCTGATGTACGTTGAATCAAAGACTACTTCCGTCTTTAAAAATTTGTATGGAGAGTCACATTTTGACAGGCTAAACTTTCTCTCCCATTCCCCTTACGTCTTCATTAACTTTGGTATCTGAACTGGCACATTATTTTTTAAAGCCCACTTAAATCAGTGAGTGTTAGTATTCTAAATAGATAACTATCATCATCCCTCTGAACTAGAATGTGTTGCTTCCTTATCAATAGTGTATTACCTTTAAAAAGCATTACTCCTTGGTATGCAGGTCAACTGCAGAATTTCTATCAGGAAAGAGAGGAGACATCTGGGTCTAAAGAATCACTGAAATTTATTCCATTGGTTTGTATGTATCAACAAATTATTTAAAATACTTACAAATTGGTACAATCTTCTGATGATAATATATATATAAGTCTTGCCTGACTTTTATTTTTTGACCACCAAGCCTACTTGGAATTTCTTGTGAAATAAGAAAAGCTATAAACTGTTTTTGCAAGGAGAAATGTTAGCAATATTAAATGTAATCATGTTACTAGGTTGACAATATTACCTGTAAGGCAGTTATTAATTTTGATTTTGTTGCTTTATATAAACATTTTAAAACCAATTTATTTTTCACTTCCTGAATCAACCATCATCATCATACCTTCAGAAGCTTACAAAAATTAGCGCCTACATGTGTAAAGTGATCATAAAATATATACTAAGTGGCTCTGTCCGTATCCTTTGCTATGAAAAGTCCACCTGTAGGAGTCTTTACTAAAAAAAACAATAGAAATGAGTATAATAGTTAGTCTATAAATATACTTATTGTCAAATATTTATTATCTATAATAGCAAAATAATATTTTAATGAGATGTTTTATACATAAAGTTCATATTTATAATAGAATATCATGTAGTAATTGAAAGTAATTGTAGAATTTTATTGCCTACAGAACAATAATGGAAAAGTAAAATGTTAGTTTTTTTTTTGAGACCGATTGTCACTCTGTCACCAAGGCTGGAGTGCAGTGGCGCGATCTCGGCTCACTGCAAGCTCTGCCTCCCGGGTTCACACCATCCTCCTGTCTCAGCCTCCCAAGTAGCTGGGACTACAGGTGCCTGCCACTACGCCCGGCTAATTTTTGTATAAAATATTAGTTTTTTAAAACACAATTTGTGAAATAGTAACCATTTGCTGGATTCTTTTATAACATATTCATAAGTATATCAAGTCTGAAGGGTATGCATCGACATGTTTTAAAAGAGTATTAATATGTGGTAAAATGTTTTGTGGTTTTGTCTTACTATGAGCATATGTTAGTTTTTAATAAAATATTTTTCAAATTAAAGGAAAAAGAGCACTGACTAACCATCAAGAGTAAAAAAGTGATTAAAAATAAACAGAAAACTATGAACAAGAATAAGGGATTTAATTTTTACATTCTAATAATATTCCCAAGCCATTTTATTGCATATACTGTATAAACAAATTAAAATATAATTATATTAGCATTTAGTACACTATTGTACTTTTCCTTTCTTTTTCAATTTGGAATTACTTCATTCCCAAATGACTGCTTATTGATTGCTCACTCCCACCCATTCAATTTATGCCTTTCTAGTCATAGTGTCCTAAATTAAGTGTTCGTGACTTTATGCGTATTTGTTCCTTATTGAGAGTTCACACTTCTCGTTAGGGATAGGAAGCAAATGAGATTTTTATACATGAATTATGCAGCAATCCTTATTTAGTGATTTCTTCTTCAGGGACTTAACCAAGGCAGGGACTGTCGAAGTGGTACATACTTTTGAAGAAGAGTATTTTATTGCTGACATTGTTTACAATTGATAACACATGGTGGTAATACAAAGCAGACTAAAATTTAGTAGGTTTATTATTGCTTTTATATTGTCTACTGACAATGCTGCCCCAAATGGCTATTCATAATTTGAACTGCTCCCAACCCATTCCCTTAGTATACTGCTGTGCTTGTTCAAAGCATGTGTGAATTTCAAAATTCATGAATAAAATTGTTACGTGTTAATTGTGTAATGATATGTAAGCTTGTAAGCTCTCTTGAGGAGCTAAATTGGACACCTGAAACCATAATTAACTGAAGTTCCAAATTAGCAATTTGTGAATTAAAATTTATGATAAAATTGCCAATGTAGCATGAAAATCCTACTGGTCTAAAAGAATTCTGCTATTCATCAAATATTTTGTTGAGCACCCACTTTGTTGAGTTTAAAAATACAACTATAAATATGATAGCTGTGACTGCTGTTCTCAAAGAAACTTTTACAGTAAGGTTAAGTAGAGATCAGGTAAGGAATTCTAAGAGTTTTGAGTTCTAGTTAAGGTAAATATTTAGTGCTACAGTTATAAAGGAAGATGATGCCAAAAGAAGAATCACATTTTAAGCTTCGGTGAGTACGGCTAACTCTACAATGTAAATACAAGGGACAATACAAAATGGTTCATAATTCAAATCTTATGTTTCAAAAATTTATTATTATTGCTCTTTAGCATGGTTATACATAATGAATTCCTAGTATGTAATAATTTAAACAAAATAATGACACTATGGAAAACCAGAAGAGCTATATGATTTTCTGAATTATATTCCATATATAAGAATCCTAGTTTCTCCTTTCTGAGAATAGCCTTTTTATTACAGATACAATATAACAAGTCCAGAGTTCATTTTCTTGATTTTTATTGGCATTGTCATTATGGTTCACACTTCCCTGAGGCCACAAAACTTCTTTACTTTGAAAAGATTTTCTTTCTATTGGATAAATGTAAATAATGATAATGTTAAATATTTAATTAATCAGAATAGATGAATTAAAAAACAGAGCAGGATTTGCCATTTAGATAGTCTGAATCCTGATACAGAAAAATGAACTCTCTCTTAAGTAGGAAAAAAGTAAAATAACAGGTTCACTGTAATGGCTTGCTAATTGAAAGTAATAATAGAACAATTAAAAATAGAATTATCTACTATAAACATAAATTTGGTGAAACAACTACTGGGGCACAAAAGCCTCTAGGAAATGCTCACTTCTTCTGGTCTATGTGGTGTGATAAACATTTATAACTTTTAAAATTACTCTTTGACTAGCAGATATGTAGTCCACATTTTTAAATTTCTATTAATTTTAAGTTGGAATTAAAATTCACATCATGAGAATGATGCATATCCAAATAAGGAACCATATGGCAGGCTTTTCTTTGGAAAAAGCTTTTCACATGCCCCAAACACACATACACTCAGTGTCCTAATTTGTGAGTTTCTTTTTAAATGTTGCTTTTTAACTCAGCATTACTGATGATTAGAGAAATGCAAATCAAAACCACAATGAGATACCATCTTGCACCAGTCAGAATGGCTATCATTAAAAAGTCAAAAAACAACAGATGCTGGAGAGGTTGTGAAGAAAAAAGAACACTTATACACTGTCAGTGGGAGTGTAAATTAGTTCAGCCATGAGGAAAGCAGTGCAGTGATTCCTCAAAGAGCTAAAAACAGAACTACCATTTGAGCCAGCAATCCCATTACTGGGTATATGCCCAATGGACTATAAATCATTCCATCATAAAGACACATGCATGCATATGTTAATTGCAGCACTATTTACAATAGCAAAGACATGGAATCAATCCAAATGCCCATCAATGGTAGAGTGGATTTAAAAAAAAAAATTCACACATATACACCATGGAATATTACGCAGCCACTAAAAAGAACAAGATCATGTCCTTTGCAGGAACATGGATAGAGCAGGAGGCCCTTTGCTTTAGCAAACTAATGCAGGAACAAGAAACCAAATACTGCCTATTCTCACTTATAAATGGGAGCTAAATGATGAGAACACATGGACCCAAGGAGGGAAACAACAGACAATGGAATCTACTTAAGGGTAGAGGGTGGGAGCAGGAAAAGGATCAGAAGAAATAACTACAGGGCACGAGGCTTAACAACTGTGTTATGAATTAATTTGTACAACTAACTATTGTGACATGAGTTTAGCATATAACAAACCTGTACATGTACCCCTGAACTTAAAATAAAAGTTTAAAAATAAAAAAAAAAAAACAACAGAAGATGTCTGGGTTTAAAAATGATGACCAAGTATATTTATCTCCTCTTTTTAATGTCTAATGTAAGAGATTTTAAAAATAGCACATGTCTAAACCTAGAACTGAGATAAATTTGAATTGACTAAGATGGCATTTCTTTCATTTTGGAAAATAGGAGCAGGAAATATAAATTAAATTAAATTATGGTAAAACAAAAATAAATACATTTTTGCATGACTGAAAAAAGATAAAAATAAAAGTCGCTTCTAGAGACTAGCAGCAACAGGTGTATACTCTGTGCAGAAAAGCTATGGTAAGCACTGATAGTGATATTTTGGTAACAATAGGTTCTATTTTTAAAATACACACCACGTATTTTCATAAAAATGTCTCATCAAGGATTATTTATGGACAAATTAAAGATATCAAATTATATATCATTTAAAAACTGAATTTGTTGCTAGTTATCTATCAATGTGTAAGAAATTAACACAAACATGCAGCTTCAAACAACACCCATTCATGATCTCACTGGTTCTGGGGGTGAGGAGTCCAGGCATGGCATGGTGACTTATTTTGTAAAGCTGCAACCCAGGTGGTAAGTTTCCAGGCTGTCAGACTGAGTGCTTCGGTTTTCATGTGGCTACTGGCAAGAGATTTCTACCGTTTTTGCCATGCGCATATCTTCATAGGCAACTCAAAACATGTGAGCCTACTTCTTCAAAGACAGCAAAGCAGTATCTGCTCACCACAAATATATTTCATTCTTTTTACTTTTAACATAAAGAACATATATTTTGTATGTTATTTGTGCCCATATTGTGTGACTTAAATCCTAGGAATGACCTAAACCATTGGATCCATATGAGAGTAGTAGTAAAGGTAGTAGTTCCTGAGATTCTCCGTTAAGAGAAAATCTACATTGGTGATAATTAGTGTGGAGATGGATGTGCTAGTGGTAGTAGTAGTGAGAAATAATTATTATAAATGTCTATTTATAGTTTAAAAACACAGTTAATGTATCTATGATATTGTGGCAGACACTGCTGCTTTTCTATTCCAAGAGACATTTCTAATCATATTTGCTCTTATAATATTTTTGTATATCACCTAGAAAGCCATGTAGTTACTTTTCTAGTCTATCTTGCCACTAGTTGTAGCCAAATTACCCACTTTTGGCACACAACAAATAAGATGATACATTTTGTGATGAGAATGCTTTGGGGAAAGCTTCTACTTTTCTGATGAAAACAGAAACCATACTTGGCATATCCCTTCTCTTTTTTTCCAGCTTGAAGGTAAAAACCATCCTGCAACATTACTGAATTTTTGAGATAATCAGAGAAATATCAGCGGTGATGCTGTTTGAGCTGCTGGAAGAATGGCAATAACATTTTATATCTGTGGTACTGGCTATTCTGTTTCTCGCAACTAAGTGAAATCTTAACCAACAGGAATTTATAATGCAAACCACAGAAATAACACCAAGCAAAGATAGCATTAAATAAATCATGGATTAAAATAATTCATAAATACGAATTTACAAAATATTAGAGGTCTATATTTTCCAAGTAGGTATCTTCTGTTAAGAGTTTTTCACTGTTTCTTAAATTAAACTCTAATGTTTATTTGAATGCCTGGGGATCTCGGTAAAATGGAAATTCTGATTCTACAGGCTTGTCATAGAGCCTGATAGCTTGTGTTTCTCACATGTTCCTAGATGATGCCAATGCTAGTTGTCCAGAATATACTGTGAGTAGGAAGTTCTAAGGAACTAATTTTTCTTGCTATCTAATTTCTTTAAATATTATTTTTTAAATTTTGTATAGAATTACGAGGTACAAGTGCAGTTTGTTTATGTAACTATATTGCACAGTGGTAAACTGTAGGTTTTTGGTGTACCCAGTACCCAAACAATTACCTTGTACCCAAAAGGTAATTTTTCAACCCTCGCCTCCCTCCCATCTTGTTACCTTTTGGGGACTCTGGTGTCTATTAGTCTATCCTGTATATCCATGTGTACCCATTATTTAGCTCCCACTTATCAGTGAGAAAATGTGGGATGACTTTCTGTTTCTCTGAGTTACCTTACTTTACATAGTGGCTTCTAGTTCTGAACATTCTGCTGCAAAAGACATAATTTCATTCTTTTTTGTGGTTCAACTGCTTTCCATGTTATAATACCAATGAAAAAGGACACTTGGTTTAGTCTGTTTAGTTTTGTTTAGTTCATTGCTGTATCTCATTGTCCAAAATGTGTTCTTTCAAGTAAGAAATGCTGAAAACTTGCTTGTTTAAGAAAAAAAAAAAAAAAAAAAGCCCAGTTGAAGTGGGTAGTCAGTACAGAAATGAGCTGCTTCCTTGGAGGGAATAAAAGCCTGATTAAAATTGGTGTAAGAGATAATAAGAACTGAATAAATGTAAGCTCTACATGTAAAAACTTCTCTGTACACATTTAGGAATGATGTGGAAGAATATCAGGGTCAAGGGAGGATAATTTTTATTTATAGCTATGTGATTTTTTTTCTAAGATGAGAATTTAGTGTGTGTTTGTACTACAATGGGAATGATCCCATGCAGAGAAACAATCTGATGTTACAGATGTAAAAGGGAAACTTGCCAAAGCATGTGAGTGTCAGGTTGAAAAGGATAGATAGATTGTAGCAAATGGGTAAAAGAGTTTTCTTAGGAGCAAGGATGGTTCACCCAGAGATACTACAGGGGAGAGTTAATGTGTGTGTACAGATACAAATAATTTGTAGTGCTGGGAAAGTATTAAAATTATCTTTTAATTTCTGTAATTCTGTCTGTGAATTAAAACAATTTGTAGTCAGCACAATGCATGGCCAGTTGTTTAAGGGAAAGGCAGGCACAATGAAAATTTTTAATAAGAATATAATATGCTAGTTAGAAACTGATATTAATAAGTACATAAGGAAAAGGATACAGCATACATTTTCTTCCTCTATATTGAGAGAGATTATCATGATTTAATTAAGATTATTATCATTATATAATATTGTATAGTTTTCATGTCTTCATCTTGTACAAGTGTCAAACACACACAGTCTATCATATTAATTACCCATATCTTAGTTTGTTCCATATATGGAACAAATCTACAGTAAAATGGCATACTATTCATTACCTTATTTAAAATTTTCTCTGACAAAAGTATGCCACATCCTAAGAAGTTTTGCATCTGTTAATTACAGTACTTAGAGTTCTTTGAATATCATAAGGCTAAGATACATTTTTTAAAAGATCATTTAATGTAAAATCATTCTTCCCCTACACCATTCTGCTTTACCTGTTGCGAGCTTCGTTGATTTCACAATTTTTAAATTGCATATTTGTTTTTTTTGTTGTTGTTGGGATGTCATGATAAGTATCACAGATTTGGTGGCTTACACACAGGCATATATTTGCTTACAATTCTGAAGGCTATAAATCCAAAGATCAAGGTGGTGGCAAGGTTTTAGTTTCTTCTGAGGCTTTTCTCTTTGACTTGTAAATGGCTGTCTTCTCCCTGTGTCTTCACATGGTCTACCCTCTGTGTGTGCCTATATGCAAATCTCTTTCTATATGGACACCAGTTCTATTGGAATAGGCCCACCCTAATGACTTAATTTTAATGTAATAATTTCTTTTTTAAAAATGTTATCTTCAAATGCAGACACATTCTTAGTGACTGGAGGTGAGGACTTTGACATACAAATTTGGGTGGTATGCAAGTCAGCCTGTAACACATACCTAAGGAATATAAGGCACTGTTTGGTGTTGTGTAAGTTACAAAGATTCAAATAAAGATACATACGACACAGTCAAGGAATGTCTTTACACAAAAAGGGACACTAAAAGGTAAAATCCAAGTCCAATATAGTTTTTCTTCAAGAGATATATACTCATTCCTCTGGGTGTTGTCAAAGTATTGATGAATATTGCCATTGCCAAATACGTAAATGTTTGTGATCCAAAAATGAATGCTTAAACAAGCACAAAGATCTATTCCATTAATGTAACATTTTAAGTACAACTTTTAAAATATATTTATATCCTTTCAATTCCTTCCAGTGGCTGTCTCTGGTCATCATACTCAGTGCTTATAAGAGGAGGAAGCAACTGTGTTTTGGGCATTTTCATTTCCTTTTCAAAGTAAAAACTTAATAGTGGTCATCGTGCTTAAAACCAAAGCAAACATGATTGTTGAATTTAAGAACAGCAGCATGTGACTCTCAAAGGCTAACTTCCTTTGAAATATATTATATTTACTTTGCTCTACGTAGTGTACATATGGTTTGCAAAACTTTAAAGAGTCACGTTGGAAATAGTTTCCATCTGGAAAGATTAAAAAAAAAAAAAACTATACTGAGGCCGGGCACAGTGGCTCACACCTGTAATCCCAGCACTTTGGGAGTCCGAGGCGGGTGGATCACCTGAGGTCCAGAGTTTGAGACGAGCCTGACCAACATGGAGAAACCCTGTCTCGACTAAAAACACAAAATTAGCTGGGAGTGATGGTGTGTGCCTGTAATCCCAGCTACTCGGGAGGCTGAGGCAGGAGAATCACTTGAACCTGGGAGGCCACGCCACTGCACTGCAGCATGGACAACAAGACCAAAACTCTCTCAAACAAACAACAAACCAAAGAACTGAACTGAGAGACACAATGGTGGGAGAATTTAGTAATTTTCAAATATAGCATACGTGGTTGTAGATGGCTCTTCTAAGTTCCAACTCACATTTAGATAGGAAATAATAGGTTTAAATTGCAGAAAGAGAAGTTGGACACTAAGAAAGCTTTTTGACATTAATGATTATGACACTGCATCATATCTTTTCTACAAACTATTTATGAAAATAATTAATGTCTATATTCTGAAAATTTTCAATATTGTTTTGCCAAAAATAACAGATGAATTTGAATTCTACTGAATATGTATTTTATTTTTAAATATCTCAGGTCCATATACAGCAAAACTAATAAGAAGAAACTAACCCAGGAAACTGATTTGAGTTTTATAAAGATGGCCTTGGTGTAATTAATATTTATAAAGCTATACTTATTTGGAATATATTGATCATATGCAAAGCACTATGTCTGACATTTAGAAAGTAAAGATTTGAACCCTTGGTGACATCTGAGAATGTTATCATGCGATTAAGTCACCTTTAAATAAGCTGGAAATTTTAAATGGAGCCTAAACAAACTATATAATGCAGTTTAGTAGAGCATAGAACATACACTAACATAGGAGGAAAATTTGTAAAAGTTTTCAAGGTATAATTCATAATACTTCCTCCTGAAATGGAAAATTTATGCCAGAGAAAACATAAGAAGGATATTTGGAAATGAACATATTTTATTTATCTTCTAACATCTTATCTGAAAATATATCTAATTTGAATAGACATGTGAGGTAAGGACAGCTTATCAGTGAACACACTAATAACAGTAAAAATAACAAAATAATTATATTACAACATTTACACAAAATGAGGGAAATTTCAACTTAAATTTAAAACATGTATTTCTTTGCCCGATAATTCTACTTGTCAGTTTCTATATTTAAAGGAACACTCAGAAAATGCAAGGAAATATATACAAGAACATTGATAGTAGCAATATTTGCAATAGTAAAAATGTCATAAATACTAAATGTCTACCAGCAGGGAAAAAGATAGTTAACCTCTAATTTATCCATGCTATGGAATACTATGCAAATTGTGTAGCTCAATGTGTATTAATATGAAAACATTGCTAAGATATACTCTTACATTTTAAAACATTGTAATTTACAGACAAACCATTACACTCTGTTGTACTACCTACTATATTTCTTATATAAGTGTTTTTATAAATGGAGCAACACATGTAATAAACTAGGAGAGAAAGGAGAGTCTTGAATTGGGTATTAAAAGACATTTTCAACTTTAATCTTACTCTAATATTAAAAATTTTACTAGTGAATATGCACAAAATCATTTGTGTAACTAAACTTAAATTATTAAAATATTGAGAATTTAATACAATTTATAGGAATTAACAGTAACATTCAAAAATTTAATTTTGAACTCTATAATTGACATAAAAATTGCACATATTTATGGGGTAAAATGTGATGTTTCAATGCATGTATGCATAGTATAATGATCAAATCGGGGTAATTACTATATCCATCACTTTAAACATTCATCATTTTTCTGTGATGACGGTATTCAAAATCTCTTATATTTTGGAATATACAATACACTGTTATTTGCTATAGTAACACTAGTGTGTAATAAAACACCAATACTTATTCTGTCGAACTATAACTTTTGGATCTATTGACCAACCTCTCTCTCTCTCAGTCATCCCTCCCCTTTAGCCTCTATAGCCTCTGGTAATCATTTTTCCTATTCTATTCTTTAGTGGTATAAAATCAATTTTTTCTGACTCCACATATGAGTGAGAACATGTGGTATTTGTCTTTCTGTGTCTGACTTATTTCATTTAACAGTGTTCTCTAGGTTTATCCATGTTGTGGCAAATGACAGGATTTTATTCTTTTTTTTAATGGCTGAATAAAATGATAACACTACCTTGTATGTGTCTTCATGTGTGTGTGTGTGTGTGTGTGTGTAATCTTTTCTTTATCCATCTGTCGATGGACATTCAGGTTGATTCTAACCTAATTCAACTGTTATAAATAGTGATGCAGTAAAGGATGTGCAAGTGCCTCTTCGTCATACTGATTTTATTTCCTTTGGATATATACCCAGTTAGGGACTACTGGATTATGTGGTAGTTTTAATTTTAATTTTACAAGGATTTTTTACACTGTTTTCTATAATAGCTGTACTAGTTTACATTTCCAATGATAGCACATAAGAGTTTCCCTTTTCGGCATCTTCACTAGTATTTGCTATATTTTTCTTTTTGGTAATAGCCATTATACTGTGTATCATTTTGGATGACAAGATAAACTAAGGTAATCCATGAATTACAAACAAATATTTATGTATTATCAAGTTCATTTGATTCATTCATTTAATAATTATTTATTAAGCTCTTAGTATGTGCCATTTACTGTTTGGTGTCTTATTTCTTTACCACTGGAGTACTTAGAGTATTTTAAACAAGAATAAACTATCCTAGTAATATTTGAGATTAAGACTACACAGGAATATTGGTCAGCTTAGGTTTTTGTTCCTATTTTTCTATGTTTCTTTACTTTCTGACTTTTCATTATATCTTTTGTGTGGTTGAGATGATGAAAATTCCTGGAGTCCTTTTCTCATCTGAAGTATTTTTTCAGGCCCTATTCAGTGGAAATGATCTGCCAAAAACATAGATAAAGAGATACATCTTTAATCTTACAGCCTGTCTCCTTGCACTGGATCAGGAAAATGATTTTTCTTTTAACAGCTGTCAGCATGCTTGACATCTGCTACAGAGGCTTAGGCTCTATTTTTATTTTTCCTATTGAAATGATACTCCAACACCTGCCCCTTTGATACTTTTAGACTGATGTGGTAAAGAACCAGGTACTTTACAGTCAAATAACTCACCATATTTCTTTTCTTTTGTTGGGTTCAAAAATAAGACTAAAAATAAAGTTTATTTTTAGCATGAGAAAAATGTGGAAATATCCAAATTACAGAAAAATAAATCATTATTTTATGAGCAATATTTCTTCAGTAAAGATGTAGCTAATGTAACTAATCTTAACATATTCAATGAAAGAAGTTCTAAATAACATTTAAACTTAACTTCTATAATTATTGGAAAAGCATTATCAGTACTTAGCATAAAGTGAATAACTATGGATTTGTCAGTTTTTTTCTGAGTAAAACCTAATGACAAATGATATAATAACTATATATAAAAATATTATAAAAGTTCATAATAAGTTTGTGAACCCTAAAGTGGTACATTTTAATATTTTTTTAAAAAGACTTTTTTTATGTGACAAGGTAAGTAAGACGGTTTAAAGAATTGGGGTGTATACATGAAGAAAAGTAAAATCATATTAAATATCAAAGGTTGTTAGGCTCATCTTCTAGCCACAGAAATGTCATTATGTATAAGGCTGCTATTTTTTGCTAAAAAGAAATATGAAAATTATGTAGAGGAGTAACATCAGAAAAAGATGATGGAGTAGGCAGCTACAAACTCCTTTCCCACATGAAAACATTTTTAAAAATGTTTTTAAATTTTTAAAAAGCAGAAAGTATCAGAAACAACTTTCTCAGAATTCTTGATAACAGTTAAAGATTTATAACCAAGCATGGTAGCAGTCTTGTAATGGCTACAGACCATGTTTCCAGTGTAGAATTTTGACCTTTGGTTTTGAAGAAAGCAGAACAGACCTTCTTCACAAATTATTCACAAATTATAACTGTAGTAACTTGTCTGGGGTCTAGCTAAAAAACTGATGCAAGGTAGTCAACTTTGTTTTTCCTAACTTGGAACTAAGGCCAGGAATAACAACCATTGCTCAAATTTGCTGGAAATCAAACTTACAGCCCACAGATACCCACAGAAGAATAGCAGGATCAATGTGTACACTAAATCACCTACAGCCTGAAAGAAAAAGCTTGGGGAGATTCCTGTTGGAAAAATTTCCAACAGGAACCACAATGAAACTGTTCTTATAATCTTTCCTCATTACTTATTTTCAGGTTAGTGTATGTGAAATTATGCAAAAATATTTCTGTTCAAATATGAAATACAGTTAAGTCCTAGTGATAAGTTTTTTATAAAAAGGTTTATCCCTGGAACAATATCCTGTGAGTTGCTTCCTGTAGGAAGTGGCAAAGTGTTATCTATGTAAGACAGTCTTATGCATACGTGGTACACTTAGCATCCTTTGTCATCTGTGCTTGAATGTAAGAAGTCCTTGCAGCCATTCTGACAAACAAAAGTACTCTCACTAATATCTAAAAAGTGTCTTTCTAATAGGCAGTAAAAAATACACATGAAAATCACCAATTTAAGTGTATTAATAATCCTGAGAACAGCTCAGTCATTTAAAGTGAATCTAAGAATATATATATTAAAAAATTTATCTATCTATCTGTCTGTCTGTCTGTCTGTCTATCTATCTATCTATCTATCTATCTAGATGAGTATTTCATGATATAATGAAGAGGAAATTCAAATTTCAAACTATTTGCAAAATAGAGCACAAAGGGTCCCCTGGGGAGCAAAGTTGAATATCCTGAGCATCAGGTGTACTCCTGACTATTGCAATTATAAAAGGAGACTGAACCAATGATTTTAAAATTGAAATAAGAGAAATATAGCTAAGAAAAACAGTAATTAATTGGAAATGATCTTAGCATTCCAACTATATAAACATACAAAATCTTCTAATTGCATTTATTCATATATCAAAGTTGATGCTTCATAAAGAACCAACTAATTGTTCCCTGACACATATTGCAATTCTAGACTCATATTGATATTGTATAACAAACCCAAATTGTTATCTGAGAAATTATCTGGTGTTCATTAAAATACACTTAATGGATATATCAAAACTCTCAGTAGAGTTTACCAAGCCACTTTTCTAAGCAGTTAGAACAAAGTGGGATAATAGAATTTCACTTTAGTCTATGACTTCAGATATATATGAGGTAAGGGAGGTAGGGCGTTTCAGAAAATAAAAATGGAATAGGTTGGAGAGAACTCTAAATATATTTCTTATTTCAAGTACATTGTTTAGACTGCTGAAATAATGCCTGGTTAAATAAGCAATTATACCTATAGATTATTATTCCATGTGTTAAGAGGTCCCATTCAAATATGACTTACAACTACTAGTTCAGGCAAGAGAGCCACAAATAATAGATTCTAGGGTATGGTAGAGGTTGGCAAATAAAATTTTATGTATACTTATTAATAGTCTTTTTCTCAATATTACTCTTTTCCTCTATCTTAATTAAATCACATTTTTAATCAAGTCAACACCTCTAAATTTGGATTGCATCTTAAAAATTATGGCTTCTGGTATTAATTACAATACAGTAGTGTGTCAGCCTTTCCTAAATTAAATAGGCTCTTTTAGATAAAAATCCATCTTCCTGGAATTTTCTCACTACCTAAATAGACATTTGGTTCACTCAGGGCATGCATAAGGGGAGAGAGAATACCTGAGATGCACACATGAAGGATCACCTACTTTCCTCTTTGTCCTTTGGCTTTCACATTAGTGACTTCTTCAGGCTTTGGTATGGCTTGTTGGCATCTGCTATTGAAGTCTCAAGTGTTGAACCCATGGTCTCTTTGTTTGACTTTTTCAGAGATCAGTGTCTTTCCCGTATTCTTTTGATCTTGCTTCACAGGTGCTATAGACACCTTTGCCTTTCAGCCATATTCTACCTGCCCTCCGTTTAGCAGGTAATCTCCCCCACCTAGCCCCTGCAAAGCTTCTAAAATTGGGCATCTCTCTGCTACAGACAATGCTTTTGTCCCGCCTCAAATTCCAGCATTGAAATCTAATCCCCTATGTGATGGTATTTGGAGCTAAAGCCTTTGGGAAGTGATTAAGTCATAAGAGTAGAGCCGTAATGAATGGGATTAGTCGCCTTATGAATGAGACCACAGAGAGCTTACTAACCTCCTTCACCATGTGAGACCCCAAATGTGCTGGCATTCTAAACTTCTCAGGCTCCACAGCTGTTAAACTTCAGCTGTTAACTTCTCAGGCTCCACAGCTGTTAAAAAATAAATTTATTTACTTTATTAGCCACCCATTGTATGACATTTTTGATAGTATCCCAAAGAGACTAGGATAGTTTCCACTTTTCGGAGGCTCTCCTGCATGATGCTGAATCTGGGTTTTATTATGTTTTGTTGTGTGGGGCTTTGGGGAACATGGAGATACCTTTCATGCCACAGCAAGAATCAAGGGAGGTGCAGTGGAGCTAATTCATGTCCTTTTACAGCCAAAGTGCCCTATGCTGTCATGGTAGTTCTCTGCTTCTTGTGTGCCATGTTGCAACAGGCCTACCCTGTCTAGCTATCTCCTTCAAGGATTACAAACTGAAAGCCAGTATAAAATTTTGCTCTCTCATTTTTTTTCAGTTATATTTTAAACCTATTTGAGAATGCCATTTTATTTTCATAATCATTTGGAAAATAAAGAGCTTTGTATCATATGCCAATAATGCAATCATAAAATAATTATCAATGTACAAGTTTTTGATTTCTAAATTTAATTTGATGCTATAAATCTCTGGCCAATTTTGTGTTACCACAGGATGTAATTGAGTTATCTGACAACTGTTTTATAACATAAGGTCTTAAACAAAAACTAGGAGAAAAGTAGATCAACGCATCACCAAATTGATTAAGTGAAATGTGTTAGAAAAAGTGATTATTTTCTAATTTACATTTTTGGCAGTTGCCATTTACTATGCACCAGCTGAATCAGTTGAAAATCAAAAATACTGATGAATAATACAAATCAATAATATATCAATTGCATAAACTTAATAACCATGTATTAAATGTGAATGTAAGTGGCTTCATTCTTAAGAAAAAGTACGTAAGTCTAATGCTCATGAGTATAAAAAATAAAATTAAAACGTGAATTAATTTTGTATGCTCTTTTCAACAAAATATTTTTTCATCTGAATTTTTAAAAATGTTTTCTAAGGTTAAGTGAAATATAAATATAATCAGGACTGTGCTTCTCAGCATACATTTATATATCACATGTCATGTGGTATACGTCAAAATGTATTTTAGTGTAAATATTATTGGGATAAAAATACCTCAACATTATCGAGAAATTTTACTTAGGGTATTTAGAAAATGAAGATTAAGATTGACGTCTCCCCAAACTAAATGTTTATTTTTCTGATCGGTGAATTAAATACTCTGATCCAGTTGAACAGTTAACTACTCCTGTTTCCATTAGCATACATACCACCAATGTCAGAGTCAACTCTTAAAAGGAGACAATTATTTTTTCAGACAAATATATTCAGGTGGCAATGCTTCCCTTCCTTTCCAGGAACTCATTTTTTTATGCTTTGAAAAAAAACTACATGCTTATTCTATAATTTCAGAATAATTTTCACTTCAAAACATAAATTTTACAAACCACTGCCAAATAAAAATATTCTGTTTATAACATTCACAGGTATATTTCATGTCTTTTAACATGATAAGACCCTCATTTTGTATTTTATAAATTGGCTTGGCCAAGAAAAGATGGTTTCCCAAAGGAATGTCACATACACTAGATATACTTTTTTTTTTAAATCTCTCTGTTTTGGTTTATCTACTTGAAATTCTTCCCTGCCAAATGTAATGCCCCTATTTCCATAAATGTATCACTGGCAGATGTTAGTTATGGCCATTTGTATGATGTAAGAGTAGCAGATACAACATATGAAAGAATTGCTTTTCTTTTGGAAAATATTTTTAAACTTATTTGAATAGCTGCCAGTACTTAATTGCCTTAAATACATTGTCAGAAAGAACAAAAGCTTTGGGAATTTCAAATGAAAGAAAACATGCTGTTAATTTCTTAATAGTATTAGTCAATTTGCTTAAAATGGTGCACTAACTTAAAAGGAAAATAATTACTCACTCATCCCTTTAAGCCATTTTCTCATAATCTTTTGAGCCACTTTTGCAGAATAGTTCCCTGGGTGGCCTTGAACTAACTCATTCCTCCTCACCTCTTCTGGCTTGCAGTTCTTAAGAATAACTGTAGAATTTACTGGAAATGCAACATCTTGAGATAAGAGGGAATTGACTGTAACAGCCTAAGCTCTGTTCCAGTCCACTTAGAATAGGATGTCCTTCAACACTTTGGGCCTCTGTGTCACATTAATCCTGAGGCATAAAACTCAAGGTGTGCTGCTTTCTGACCCTTGGGAGACCAGCACACAATGACTCCTTGGCTTCTGTTGCTCTTTCCTGACTATCTGTAGGTAATAAGCTAGCTTCATGTAACTTCTGTGCATTGTTGTTCTATCTCACTGGACTACCAGCGCAGGGTAAACCTGCTTCACAACTTCTTGTTCACCTGTGGGTGGGAAGTGGTACACAGTAGTGTTAGAGAAGTCTTCAGTTGCTCACCTTCCTTCTAGAAGCATTTTTAAAGCTTGGAGGATGCTACTGATATGCAGATGCTCATGAGGAGGGAGGTGCAGGAAAGAATGCTTCTGCTAAATCTTTCCTATTTGTCATCGGGAATAATTAGTAAAGAAGCCCACCTTTCTCAGAAGCTGTGTCTATATAGAAAAGCGTACCAAAGATTTGTTTTTAAACTGAGTTTAAGTAAATTGTCCACTAGGATCATCTTTGTTCTGTTTTATTTTTCCTTTCCTTCTTGAATTGTTTAAGGATTTTTAAATCACCAATTATCAGTGGACTCAATCAGATCTTTGTTTTTTACTTATTTTAAATGAATTGTAATAATTTGATTCAAAGAATTGTCCCAAAATCCAAATAGTTGTGATATTTCTCAGGCAACAGTATCCACAAAGTATTTTCATCTAAAACTTTTTTCATCATAACTTTTTTCAGTTTTGAAATTTATTCAGAATTGAAATTTTAAAATTTTCATGTCACAAAGTAAGGGGAATGGAAGTGGCCTACCCATTCTTTCTCAGACAACTTTAAGGTTGTCCTCCATCTTTTTGCAAGCAAGCACAAAGTGGTTTTGTTTTGTTTCTTGCCTCATTGTGCTGTTTTACTCCTCTTCCTGGCCTAAGATTGTTTCTATCCTTCTAAATCAAATTTTTGAGCAAGCTACATATAGGAAAAAGGATAATGTTATAACCCCCCCAAAAAATCATAATACCGGAAGTATCAGAAATCTAGAATTTTAAGCACAACTTTCTGTACTATCAAATGACTACTTTTATCTTACACACTAGGACATTTTGTTTTGCCCTGTATATTGAATTTACCTGATAAGAATCCATCAGCATATTCATGTCAGTTATTTTTTTCCAAACCTAAGAATAAGAATATTGATTTTATCCCCAATTGGGAAATAAATAAGGCACTAAAATATCATGGAATTAGAAAAAAATTTAGCAGCAGTAGATGTTTTAAAGTAACATATTTCTATATAGGGGAGATAAGGCTATCTAGGACCTCATTTTCCTCTCAAAATTCTAAATTTCTTTTTGAATTTCGGAAGTTTGATTATAAATCCATAGGCCCAAATTCTAAAAAATACATGAAAATTGTTATAACACTGCTTGCATTAGGATTTACTTTATAATGAATTTACTCTACAAATATTCGTTAAAAATTAAGCGAGATTTTTACTTGCTGACATGGTTTGGATCTGTGCCCCACCCAAATATCATGCTGAAATATAATCCCCAATGTTGGAGGTCAGGCCTGATGGAAGATGGTTGAATCACGGCGATGGAGTTCTCATGAATGGCCTGGCACCATCCCCTCAGTGCTGTTCTCCTGATAGCGAATGAGTGAGTTGTCATAGGATCTGGTTATTTTAAAAGTGTGTGGCATCTCCCCACTCCCTTCCTCCTGTTTAGGTCATGTGAAGTGCTGATTCCCTGTTTGCCTTCTGTGTGATTGTAAGTTTGCTGAGGCCTCGCCAGAAGCTGAACAAATGCTGCCATGCTTCCTATACAGCCTGTGGAACTGTGAGCTAATTAAAGCTCTTTTTTAATATATAAATTACCCAGTTTCAGGCATTTCCTTATAGCAGTGTGAGAATGGATTAATATATTTGCTATTATGTAATTTGAAATTGATTTTAATTATCAATCACAAATGGCACTCAAAATTTTCTTTCTTAATACTAATCTTTTTTCTTTGACATGAGTTTTGGTTTTCTATGAGTACAAATAAAGCTTGCTGTTGCTTAACAACTCCATGGTTCCATAGGTCAGGTTGCTAACATGCAAAGTAATGGATTTAATTTGTTTTTTACTGATGACTAAATTGTCAACTGCAGCAGGTAGGATAAATCACATACCTGTCGTTTAGATGCAACGTGACATGAATAAAAATTGTGATTTTTTCTCTTAGTTATATATATATGTATAAGCATGATTGGCTTTTGGCAATATCTCTAGATATCATAAATGAATAATTCTTATGATAAATGTATACTAAATTCAAAGTTATTTATTACTTAAATGCAATGTTTCTCATTAGCTATAGAAAAATTTATTTTTTCCTAACAAATAACATGTATTTAGCTTCTAATGGGCTGTCAAAAGATGAACCAAAAGAAAAACTAACTAATATATATAAGAATCGATAACAAAGATAATATCACCTTTAAATTAACCAATATTTTCTATATCAGTTTACAAATAAAATGTTAATATTTTAATTGATAGAGATTACAAATACAGTGTTTTGTTGAATCATTTATATGTGAATTTTCTGGGTCACTTTCTACTTAGCAAGTAATTGCCAAGATAGCATCTACCCAAGTATAGTTATTTTATGCTTTGAAACACATATAGATTTTATTCATATTCAAATCCTCAGATATTCATTTCCCCAATTCCCAAACAATGCGTATTCATTCCCTTTAACCCATTTTTGTAATCCTTGATTTCACTCTTCTGCCATTCACTCTTCCATAGTTCCAGGGATAGATCATCTCCCATGTGGCTTACTGATGTACCTTGTCTCTATTTTGAGACAGTTATCCATGAGCTCTTCACATTTCTGCCCATCTTATGAGGAGAGGTAATGACTGCCTTTATTCAAGACTATATGTTCAAAGAAATTTGTTTGGCCAACATCCTTGGGATATATAGAGAGTATGCCCCTACAGATCAAGGAGGAGGTATCTTTTTGGTCTAGTATAAAAACCATAATGTCTCTCTCTCTCTCTGGAGCAAAGGTCAAACATACTTACTGGTCCTTATAAAAGATTACTGCATGAAGCACTTTCTAATCTTCCTTTTTCCTAGATGGATATTAAACTCATTCACTTGTATGCTACTCTAATATTTAATTTACAATTCTCTCAAGCAAATTCTAGCTTTTATTATCTCATTATAAATATGCTTATTACTTCTAACTCATCTTGAATTCCTTACATTTAGAACTTAAATGTTTGAACTAAATTGAGATAGTCCATCCCTTATGAATTTTAGAATTAAGTGGTTTTAAATATCAATGAGGGGAAGTGGCAGAAGAGTTCCTCATTGGGAACTCATTGCCCTTGAATGAAATCAGTAGTCATTTACCTTTCCAAATTATAACAACTAAAAAGTACTTGACCTGTGAGGAACATGGGGGTGCAGATATCTCTTTGAGATCCTCATTTCAGTTATTTAAAAAATATGCCCAGAAGTTGTCTGTTGTTTTTATTTACTCTCTCTCTCTCGCTATGTTTTTTTTTGTTTTTTGTTTGTTTGTTTGTTTTAGGCTGACACTTGCTCTATCATGCAGGCTGGAGTGCAGTGGTGTTCTTATAATTCACTGCAGCCCTGAACTTGCTCAAGCAATCCTCCCACCTCAACCTTCTAAGGTGCCACCCTACAGGCATGCACCACCACACCCAGCTAACTTTTAAATTTTTGTAGAGGGATGATTTTGCTGTTTTGTCCAGGTGGGTCTCAAACTCCTGGCCTCAAGCATTCCTTCCACCTCAGCCTTCCACAGTACTGGGATCACAGGCATTTGCCACTGCACCTGACTAATCTTTAAATTTGAGGAACCTCTATTCTATTTTCCACAGTGGCTTCACAAATTGACATTCCTAGGAACAGTGTACAAGGTTTTTAATTAATCCACATCCTTGCCAGCACTTGCTATCCTTTGTTTTTTTAATAGTAACCATCCAACAAGTGTGAGGTGACATCTCGTTCAATGGCTCTAAAATATCAGTCGTGCAAAATAAATAATTTCTGGAGGTCTGCTGTACAAAATAGTGGCTGTATTTAACAAGTCACTATTGTATACGTCAAAATTTGTCAACAGAGGTTATCTCATGTTGTCTTCTTACCATCAAACAGAATAAAACAAAACAAAACTCGAAGGAGTGAGAGGAAAGTTCTGGAGGTAGCCCATATGTTGATTATCTTAATTGTGGTGATCATTTTGTGGATGTGTATTTCCAAACTCATCAAATTGTACATATTAAATATATTCAGTTTTTTGTATATCAATTATTCTCAATAAAACTGTTTCAAAAGTTAATACTCCAGAAAAAGGTATTTGTCCAAGAGGTTGTTAGTCTGTCACATAGACATAAATGATTAGCAAGAGACACGTACTCAGATATATGGGCCTTTCCTACTTCCACGGGTCTGTGACTCTATCCTTGAAAAGGAAAGTGACATATACAAATGAATGGTAGATACAAAAATAACAACAACAAAAAAAACAACACCACGAATAACAACAAAAACCACCAAGACTTTTGGGATAGCCTCAGATATTGCTTAATTCCTATCCTCTTTGAATATTTGGTTTTGCTTTTATATACTATGTTGTTGGGTTCTATTTGGAATAGATGTGTCATTGTTTTGTTTATTTTCTCTCTCATTTTTTTTTCCCTTAAATTTATTTGCTGTTGCTTCTCTTTGATTAAAAAAACACAAAAATCCCCTCAGGACCTGATATATAATATCAATAAAAAGACAATTGTTTCTTTTGGAAAAAGTGGTAACAAATTCTGAAAATCTCACATCGTTCTTTGCCCTCCATGCCCTTAAAGCAATCCCCATGGCATCTCAATTAAATCCTAGTCTCTGAGTTTCCTTTTAGCTTTAAAATACCTACACAAACGTCAAATAAAGTCTTTTGACTTCTCAATAAAATTTATTTTTTTCTTTTTTTACTATCATAAAATACACATTTTTTCTCAATCTTAGTAAACTTAAAAAAATGCATTTGTTATCCAAATTGTTAAAACAAAAAATATCTGAAACTACTTACTGATGTTCTGAATGCATCTCTGTTTGTGTTAATAATGCCTAACTCCCTGGTAATCAATCACAAACTATATGACTCCAGAATAATCTATTTCTCTCAAATCTCGAACACACTAACGTAGAAGCCGTTATTTAGGATTTGAAAAGGCAAATTGCCACGTAGTGACAAATTTAAAATGAATTTATTCTGAAACTGCCATTTTAAGGTAGTTTCTATAGTGTGAAAAATACAATGTTGCAAGATTCTAAGTGTTTTGGCCTTTTCCAGTTCTTAAACATAGGATTTAGGTTTCCTTTTGACTTTTAATAACTTGCCAAGTTGATATTTTCCCTGAAAACTTCGTCTACATAAAGGTCAAGAAAACTGTGGAGATCACTAAAGAAGTTATATAGATAAGGTGCTTAATATTAAGAGCTGTTACAGAGAAAATGATCTATTTAAGATGGTGCATATTCCTTAATTTAGAGGAGTTATTGAGACTTTTTCAGTTATTTGAACATTCTTTCTGTTTTTACAAAAATAAAAGTTTTATAAATTGGGTTTTAGACATTTCAAAACAAATCATTTCTTCATTTACCATAAGGTTTTTCAATTTATGTATCATGGCAAACTGTAAGAGGGTTTAAATCTCATCACTAAAATATTGAAAATTGTGATCCAAAAATGATTTCTAATGTTACAGAAAAGCTCCAAAATGTGATCCAACTGATTCTCATAGTGGTGTGACAAGTGCATATGATCCAGTATCTTTCAGTTTTATGAAAATTGGTTGTATACTTTTCCTCCTGTCTCTCCAACACATCTAATGCCATTTCAGCTGTGCATATGAGTTGGAAATTTGTGCTAATTCTTCCTTTTTTCTTTTTAATTGTAGATGGAAGAAATTAAAACTGGTTTTCTCTGAAGGTTCCCAACCAATAGGACTTTCCTCCTTCTGTCTTCCTTTTCTCAAACCGCAGGCATTAGAGAATGTATACCTTGTTAGAATAACATTTACTGACCATATTTTAGTCACACCTTAAGCATTACTTTTCCAGAAATTATGCCCATACATTTTCAGAACATATTATGTGTCTCCTTTTTGGTATTTTCATTTGGTATATTTGGTATGCTTGTCCTTTTTGTTACTTTCATTTAATTATGCAATGACCATTTTTTTCATGCTACATTTTAGAGTCCTTGAGTGCATGACTATTTTTTTTTATTGCAGGCCCAAGAAAAATGTCTAGAATACAGTAAGGTCTGAAAATGATTTCTTCATTCAGCAAATCGCTTATACCTTTTTTTCTTTTTTGGCCAGGACATGATCTTCAGACTATTTTAGTCTCTTTCTGCAGCTTCCTAAACATTTGATGTCTTATTTTTTTTCCTTTGCTTCTCTAAATGCTCCAGCTTAATCTCATTTGTTGAGTTCATATGTTTTATGCAGACTAACTCATAGCAATGATCATTGCCTCCTTGTCTTTGTCTTTTCTTCTTTCTTTGCGCTTTATTCCTAGATTGCTTCCCTAATTTTACTTCAGTCACTATCCATATGTAGGCCACAGGTTATCAATACACATGCACAATTTCCTATATACTTATCTACATAGATGTTTGTAAGGAATTCAAACTCTAAAAGGTCAAAACTGATTTTATAATATCTCTCTAAAATCTGCTTATCACATACTGTACTTCAGTAAATCATAGCGAGGCAGGAGAATCAGGTCTGGAGGCAGGGAACCTAAGGCTGTTTCACTTCGACTTGCTAGAACTAAATTGAAAGGAAAACTCTAACTTTATACATCTAAGTAACAAAAGGACCAGAGGCTGCTCCCTTTGACTTTTTTGCGAGTCAGATGAGAAACTGGTTGGTGGAAATTGGTTGTCCGCAACAAATCATACTGAGTGCAGGTCCAGTCTTCATTTGCAAATTTGTAACTTCACTCCAGCCTCTGAATGGTTGCCGTCCGCAACCAATCAGACTAATTGTGCGATACCATTTCAGTTACATGAGGTGAACATGAAGTGGCCAATGGAAAACTTCTAGGGGGTATTTGGACACAAGAAGATTCTGTATCAGGGCCCTTGAGCCGCTGCTTGGGCCCGCTACCACTGTGGATTGTACTCTCGGTTTCAATAAATACCTGCTTTGGTTCTTTTGTTGCTTCATTCTTTCTTTGTTTTGTCCAACTCTTTGTTCAAAATACCAAGAACCTGGACAAACTACAGTCACGACCCTCTAACGGTGACAATCGTTATACTTATTTAATTTTACAAACTGAAAAAAAATACACGTGTCTTGTCAATCTACAGTCCTTTTAATTTCATACTTAAATATTTTGAATATATGCATTTCTCTCTTACTATTGAAGTCAGAAAAGAATGTACCATCATACCATTCTTGGAACAATGTCCTGCCACATCTATTATTACTGTAAATAGAATGGAGTTTGGAGGAGTGATCTGTATGCTGGAATTTTCGAGAGAAAAGGTTTGTTAGTAGTTTCAGATAAAAATATCTGGTAAGTGATACTTAACATGAGAATGTCCAAACAATCAATATATAAATGTTTATTAAAAACATACTACTAAAAAGAAGACAGCATTTTTTTTAGGACACAAAATTAAGAAAGCAAAGCAATTAAAAATAGTGATAGTAACTGAATGTTAATTGGAGCCAAATATGCCAAGGATCCTTTGCCTCAGTCCCTGACATGAGAAGGGAGGATACAAAATTATTATGAGAGTTTCATTATACATGAGTTTCATTATGAGAATTTCATAATACATGATTTCAGCTCAAAATATTTCAATTGATCATATGTATTTTATTTACTTTTAAATATAGATATCCCATATAGATAATTAATTATAAAATTTACTATATCTGTAATATAGTATATTACTAATAAAATAGCATTTTAAACAAATTTTAGGAATATGAACAGTGGACTTGCATACAAAGGTGGATGAAGCATAGTAAAAAGTTGCCTTCCATAATTTAGACAACAAACACTGAAGTCATTTTTTTCAAAAGAATTCTAGGGAAGCTTGTATTGAGGAGATGCAGAGAGAAGAGGAGAAAAGGAAACAGACTCTATGATTATTTGGGGTTCTGTATTGGAAAAATTTTATCTTTATTTTACCCCATCCTTTCCCCAGCACTATAGTCTTTCTTTTGATGTAGAAGTAAAAATCTCTGAGGAAACTGAGCGAACTATTTCCAGGTTACATGGAGTTCAGTATGAATGTCCCAGAGTAAAACTTCCTGTTTTAACTTTGGAGGACAAAAAACGTTTGTTTGTTGACCCTAACTTAGCCCTGAAAACAAGCTAGTGAAAATAGCCTATGAACAGACGTTAGATTTCTAGCCAGTTACCCATTCAGAAGTTGTTGGAGGAAAAGTCCAGCCTATATAACAGCAAAGGAAACTCTTGTTTGCTATGATTTGAAGCAGCCTATTATTTCAATTTTAATTATACATATCCTCCAACAAGCATCTACAGAAACATAAAAGATATTTACAATATTGAAAAACATAATAAAGAGAGAAATAATAAAGCATCTACAGAAACATAAAAGATATTTACAATATTGAAAAAACATAATAGAGAAATATTATATTTAAAAATATAATAAAGATATATTTTTAAAGATGAAATCCATTTAAAAAGATACTCTAGAAGAAATAAACAGAGTAGAATAATAACTATTTGACATTAGTAATAAATATCATTTATAATATAAAACACTAACTAGAATGGTTGGATGAGTTATTTCAAGTCTAGAATATAGGAAATAAGCAAATGTATGAAAAAATAAGAGAAAACAAAATGCACCTATCTAATGGTTCTGCATCAAAACAATACGAACAGATAACAGGGGAGAGGGAAGTTAATAATAAAACTATTTAAAACATTAAAACTATTAAAATTTAAAATGAAAACATAGGTTTTAAAATTCAAAAATATATTTTATAGGATGAATTAAGAAAAATAAAAATACATGTGTCATTGTATAACATCAAGGATAAAATAGAGAATTCTAAAAGTTTTCAAAAATAAATTAAATGGATTAAGATTTTTGTTAAAAGATGAGAGATCTACAAAAGAATGTCTACTACAAAAGAATGACAATCAGATTGGCATTAGCCATCTCATAAATCATTTTTAATTTAAAATTCTAAAATATAAATTTTCCCTCTAGTACACACACACACACACACACACACACACAGACACACACACACACACACACAGAGTTATGTACCTTTGAAATGATTCCAGACACCTACTATGTGAGTGTCATCTGTTTTTCTGTGATAAGAACATGGAGTATAATCTCTCTCCCTAGAAGAATGTTACGTCACACCTTATTAGACCACATGGGTGAGTTACTGTCTCAACTACTAGACAGCAAAACATACATAAACTCAAGATTTTGAAAGAGCTTAAGCTGTGGCAGGGCTAATCTTTATCAACTGAATCTTTGAAGACCTAGTGCTCAGGCTGCAGGAAGGCTATTCTCTTCCAATCTTTGAGCTATTCTCTGAAGCCTCGCCCACCAACGCTGGTGCTGCTCACTAGCATGGAGGGACCTTGCCTGTGACCTGGAATCTCCACTGTGTTTGTCAAGATGTCTCATTTGAGAATCTCTTCTGCAAAGATGTGACTCAAATATTATTTAGACTTCACACTCACAGAGGCTTACTTTCATCCTAATTAGCAACTGGACTTTAATAATGTGGACTCCACATGAAACTAGAGCTCACTAACTGTGTGATTGATTAATGTACCTAATCTATCCAGCATATTTTCTCTGAGATTTGTTATTGTTATTCTCCCCCTTTTGAGCAGTGTGGAAAAAATATCCTTTATGGCAGTAAAGGATGTAATTCATGAAATTATACTTTGATCATCTCATTTTAACTACACAAAACACATGCACATATGTACACAAACATGCACATTAACACATATAGATGTATATATTTGGAGAATTGAAGATTCATAAGGTTTTCTTCTTGTTCTCCCTTTCTGAATAACTATGCAAATGAGCAAATGGAAGAAGCAACCAAGAAAAAGGTAAATATGAGATCTAGAAAACAGAAAACTAATACAGGATTATAATTTGGGAAAATGAAATACCAAGAATAATTAAAATTTTAAAGCAAGACTTTTATTTTAAACGTCTGATCCAGTTTGAAGCAGAAAGTAAGGTGTCCAAAGAAAGAAATGTCTTGATGAAAATATGGATTGTATGCTTCAGAAAATGAAATTAATGACATAGATAAATTAGGGATGTGACCAGGGCATTTTTTCTATCAACAGGATAAAAACAAGGAACAAAAAAAAAATTAAGAAAAATAAAAACTCAGAAAAAAAAAATTTAGAAGTGCACAGAAGAATCAGGGTCAAATAAGAAAATTAAAATGTGGTATGGTTTTGCATAACTGACAGAATATAAAAGAGCCTAATCCATATAACTAGGAATATCCTCTTTTGCTTATAACCAGGATAATGACATTGGGGTTACAAACAGCATTCATATAGTAATAATAATATAATTATTTTCATTTTTATCCTTCTATAGGGAAAAATTATAATTGATTATGACTACTGTGCAGGCATTTATTAGCAGAGTAATGACAAAAGAAAAGTTATTATTGTCTGTGAAAGCACTTTTATTTAAAGATAAAATCACAAAGATTATGAACATCTATCTATCTATATATATATGTATATATATATATATATATACACAAAGGCAACTACACAAAGCTAGTAACATGCATATTTCCAGTTGGAGGTACAAGGTACCATGCCCTTTGGAACCCCTAAGGGGCCCCAGATGTCAATAATACCATATGGTCCCATCAAGTATTGTGAGAAGTTCTGCTTTGCCACTCTCGGATTTTCTTTTTCCATTCACCTGGACCGTTCTGACTCTTCTGTAGATTCTGCGCCTGTTTGCTTGAATGTCAGGTAGGTAAGGCAAACCAAACTTGGCATGTTTGTGAATGCTTAGATTGAGAACAGGTGAATCAAAAATCAATCCCAAGTATCACTGGCTTTATAGTAAAATCAGTCTTGAAAACTGAAGCCATATGTTATTAATATTATTAATAATATGAAATGTAAAATAGAATTAACTGCATTTGTGAAGTAGAAGTGGGAAATAGGACTGGGAAGGGAAGTTTATAATATTAATAACTACATATCATAGGAGGGAGTTAAGTGACAGTGTCTGAAGTTAAAACTATAACATATAAAAATTGAAATACATTATGAAGTGTTAAAAAGAGTTAAAATGATAGGACAATGTAACTACCACAAATATGCAGAGAGAAATGGTAGGAGGAGTGTAAGAGGGAACTATTACATCTGTGCTATTCTTATTGTTGCATTAGTAAATAATGCCTCTATTTGACACATTTATGAAGAGATTCATAAATACACAATTTAGAGTGATGCAAGGATAATCATGGGCCATGGTAAAATAAATTTAGTAATAGAGCAGGTTGATCTCTAACTTTAAGTCGTTCTGGGTGGATTTTTTTCACCACATTATATCATTTAGTTAATTCTTTCAACAATACTGTGTAACAAACACCCACTGACACCCTTAGTGGCACAAAAACAATAAACACTTATTTCTTGCAAATATAGCTTCAGTTTAGCGAATATGACTCTACTTTGGGTTCAGAAGCTATGTATTTTCTGGTGTTCATTTGTTTTCTTCTAGAGGCCAAATATAAGAGTAAGCCACTAACCATGTGGCAGAAGCCCAAAGGAGCAATGTCATTCATATAAGCACAGATCAATCCTCTGTAAATATCATGTCCAGTAACATTTCATTGGTCCAGTTAAGACAAAGGTCCTAGCCTGTGTCAAGAGGCTAGGAAGTATATTCTGCTATGAGATCTTGGCAAGGGTGTGACATGTGATTCATATCTAGGGAAGTGAAGAAAGAGAACTAATAATTTAATTTACCACACGTCTAGAGATTACTTTGATATAAAATAATGCTTTTTACATTTTAAATAGGTATAAAGAAATACATCTTCTTCTGTTCCTTATCTGATGTTTATTGGGTGCTTTCCTGTTTTCATCCAAATAAAAACTCCAAAATAATTAATATATCCTGAAAGACATTTTGTAACGTGGCTTGTATATGTCTAATCTCATTTGGAAGACAACCCTGTTCACTACTCCTATCAGACTTCTCTTTAGTCTTTGTACACTTTATGTACTTTCTCAAGTTAAATGTATGCTCTTCATTCTGCCTGTAATGCTACCTACATGTGCTTTACCCAGCTAATTCTTAACCATTCTTTTAGTACGACTTGGCTTTAGATTAATGGTTTGTTTGTTATTTGATTTAATCTTACTTTACATTTCTCGCAAGAAACAATCAGCTATCATGAAATTATATGTATAATCACATTTATTCCCTGGTGAGCTATTTGGCACATAAGAAAATTTTCCTGGCCAAGGCAACATCATTAGGATCAAGTACATCACCTGGCACATAGTTATAGAATGAATGGTCTATCAGGATTTTCAGCATAAAAGAGATGTCCATTCCTGCCTGGGCAAGTCCCATGTAAAATGATGTTTTTAAATAATTTCCTTACAGATATTTTATTTAAACAGGCAGTACAATCTATTAAGTTTTCATCTCTGTTGTTTATATTGACTTTAAATCATGTTTTAAGTTCATATATTGGCCAAAAGTTTATTAAATGTGTTTTTGTGTTTCTGTAGGTAAGTTTAAATTTGAACTTAAATTTTGCCTTGGACAACCAGCTATCACCACACTCAGCAGCCTTTTCACCTCTAGTCACAAATCTTCTTCTTTTTTATTATTATTATTATTTTTTGGAGTTTCGCACTGGAGTACAATGCCCAGGCTGGAGTACAGTGGTGCAATCTTGGCTCACTGCAAACTTCACCTCCTGGGTTCAAGCGATTCTCCTGCCTCAGCCTCCCAAGTAGCTGGCATTAGAGGCATGCACCCCCACACCCAGCTAATTTTGTGTTTTTAGTAGAGACGGGATTTCACCATGTTGGTCAGGCTGGTCTCTAACTCCTGACCTCAGGTGATCCACCCGCCTCAGCCTCCCAAAGTGCTGGGATTACAGGTGTGAGCCACTGTGCCTGGCCAAGATCTTCTATTTTACTACATAAATGAATGTGTCCTTTTGAGTGTCTGTGAGTTGCTCATCTGGTTTCAGGATCTTCAGCTAAAGTTCTATTCGTAAAATTGTACTAGCTCATTGATTATGCAAAAGATACAAGGGGTTAGCTTTTCTTTCTTGGACTTGGAATTATTTCATCTTTCTCTTATGTTGCTTTATTTATAGCACCTAAATAAATTAACTTCTGTATCTGATCCTTTTTGTTTTGGGTAAATGATTTGGTTTAGAAAAGGTGAATAGTATGATTTGTTAGGATTAGCGCTGGTTTTGGTCCAAAGTGGTCAGTTGACGTGAAATCTTCCCATTGTAAACTGGGTGCTTTAAGTTAAGCTATACTTTTCATTATTCCGAGGACACTTTCCAGTACACTTTCCTTGTTAGGATTTACCTCCTCTTAGATAAGATTTTGTTGTTTATTTGAGAGAAAGTTTCATTGTTTTACCTAGGCTGGAGTACAGTGGTGTGATTTCAGCTCAATGTAACCTCCACCTATGAGGCTACAGTGATCCTTCCACCTAGGCCTCCCAAGTAGCTGGGATTATAGGTGCATACCACCATGTTCAGTAATTTATTTTATTATTTTATTTTATTTTATTTTTGTAGAGACAGGGTTGCTCCATGTTGCCCAGGCTGGTCTCAAACTCCTGCTCTCCTCTTGACTCAGCCTCTCAAAATGCTGGGGTTACAGGTGTGAGCCACTGCACCCAGGCAGTTTTTGTTAATTATAAATTTGAAATTAATAGGGATATGAGGAGGGTGATGGGCAGTGTGTGTATGCTTCATGGTCCTATTAATCAAGCTGTCTGTTCTTGACTTACTACTAAATTGTCTTTTGTCATTATATTTCATAAAGGCTGGCGTGGGTATTCTAAGCTTAGAAAATGTAGCCCTCCAGCCAGAGAGAAAGGTCGGGTTACCCTCAAAGGGAAGCCCATCAGACTAACAGCGGATCTCTCAGCAGAAACCCTACAAGCCAGAAGAGAGGGGGCCAATATTCAACATTCTTAAAGAAAAGAATTTTCAACCCAGAATTTCATATCCAGACAAGCTAAGCTTCATAAGTGAAGGAGAAATAAAATACTTTACAGACAAGCAAATGCTGAGAGATTTTGTCACCACCAGACCTGCCCTAAAAGAGCTCCTGAAGGAAGCGCTAAACATGGAAAGGAACAACCAGTACCAGCCGCTGCAAAATCATGCCAAAATGTAAAGACCATTGAGACTAGGAAGAAACTGCATCAACTAACGAGCAAAATAACCAGCTAACATCATAATGACAGGATCAAATTCACACATAACAATATTAACTTTAAATGTAAATGGACTAAATTCTCCAATTAAAAGACACAGACTGGCAAATTGGATAAAGAGTCAAGACCCATCAGTGTGCTGTATTCAGGAAACCCATCCCACGTGCAGAGACACACATAGGCTCAAAATAAAAGGATGGAGGAAGATCTACCAAGCAAATGGAAAAGAAAAAAAGGCAGGGGTTGCAATCCTAGTCTCTGATAAAACAGACTTTAAACCAACAAAGATCAAAAGAGACAAAGAAGGCCATTACATAATGGTAAAGGGATCAATTCAACAAGAAGAGCTAACTATCCTAAATATATATGCACCCAATACAGGAGCACCCAGATTCATAAAGCAAGTCCTGAGTGACCTACAAAGAGACTTAGACTCCCACACAATAATAATGGGAGACTTTAACACCCCACTGTCAACATTAGACAGATCAACGAGACAGAAAGTCAACAAGGATACCCAGGAATTGAACTCAGCTCTGCACCAAGCGGACCTAATAGACAGCTACAGAACTCTCCACCCCAAATCAACAGAATATACATTTTTTTCAGCACCACACCACACCTATTCCAAAATTGACCACATACTTGTAAGTAAAGCTCTCCTCAGCAAATGTAAAAGAACAGAAATTATAACAAACTATCTCTCAGACCACAGTGCAATCAAACTAGAACTCAGGATTAAGAATCTCACTCAAAGCCGCTCAACTACATGGAAACTGAACAACCTGCTCCTGAATGACTACTGGGTACATAACGAAATGAAGGCAGAAATAAAGATGTTCTTTGAAACCAACGAGAACAAAGCCACAACATACCAGAATCTCTGGGACGCATTCAAAGCAGGGTGTAGAGGGAAATTTATAGCACTAAATGCCCACAAGAGAAAGCAGGAAAGATCCAAAATTGACACCCTAACATCACAATTAAAAGAACTAGAAAAGCAAGAGCAAACACATTCAAAAGCTAGCAGAAGGCAAGAAATAACTAAGATCAGAGCAGAACTGAAGGAAATAGAGACACAAAAAACCCTTCAAAAAATCAATGAATCCAGGAGCTGGTTTTTTGAAAGGATCAACAAAATTGATAGACTGCTAGCAAGACTAATAAAGAAAAAAAGAGAGAAGAATCAAATAGACACAATAAAAAATGATAAAGGGGATATCACCACCGATCCCACAGAAATACAAACTACCATCAGAGAATACTACAAACACCTCTACGCAAATAAACTAGAAAATCTAGAAGAAATGGATAAATTCCTCGACACATACACTCTCCCAAGACTAAACCAGGAAGAAGTTGAATCTCTTAATAGACCAATAACAGGAGCTGAAATTGTGGCAATAATCAATAGCTTACCAACCAAAAAGAGTCCAGGACCAGATGGATTCACAGCCAAATTCTACCAGAGGTACAAGGAGGAACTGGTACCATTCCTTCTGAAACTATTCCAATCAATAGAAAAAGAGGGAATCCTCCCTAACTCATTTTATGAGGCCAGCATCATTCTGATACCAAAGCCGGGCAGAGACACAACCAAAAAAGAGAATTTTAGACCAATATCCTTGATGAACATTGATGCAAAAATCCTCAATAAAATACTGGCAAACCGAATCCAGCAGCACATCAAAAAGCTTATCCACCATGATCAAGTGGGCTTCATCCCTGGGATGCAAGGCTGGTTTAATATACGCAAATCAATAAATGTAATCCAGCATATAAACACAACCAAAGACAAAAACCACATGATTATCTCAATAGATGCAGAAAAAGCCTTTGACAAAATTCAACAACCCTTCATGCTAAAAACTCTCAATAAATTAGGTATTGATGGGACATATTTCAAAATAATAAGAGCTATCTATGACAAACCCACAGCCAATATCATATTGAATGGGCAAAAACTGGAAGCATTCCCTTTGAAAACTGGCACAAGACAGGGATGCCCTCTCTCACCACTCCTATTCAACATAGTGTTGGAAGTTCTGGCCAGGGCAATTAGGCAGGAGAAGGAAATAAAGGGTATTCAATTAGGAAAAGAGGAAGTCAAATTGTCTCTGTTTGCAGACGACATGATTGTATATCTAGAAAACCCCATTGTCTCAGCCCAAAATCTCCTTAAGCTGATAAGCAACTTCAGCAATGTCTCAGGATACAAAATCAATGTACAAAAATCACAAGCATTCTTATACACCAACAACAGACAAACAGAGAGCCAAATCATGAGTGAACTCCCATTCACAATTGCTTGAAAGAGAATAAAATACCTAGGAATCCAACTTACAAGGGATGTGAAGGACCTCTTCAAGGAGAACTACAAACCACTGCTCAAGGAAATAAAAGAGGATACAAACAAATGGAAGAACATTCCATGCTCATGGGTAGGAAGAATCAATATCGTGAAAAGGGCCATACTGCCCAAGGTAATTTACAGATTCAATGCCATCCCCGTCAAGCTACCAATGACTTTCTTCACAGAATTGGAAAAAACTACTTTAAAGTTCATATGGAACCAAAAAAGAGCCTGCATCGCCAAGTCAATCCTAAGCCAAAAGAACAAAGCTGGAGGCATCACACTACCGGACTTCAAACTATACTACAAGGCTACAGTAACCAAAACAGCATGGTACTGGTACCAAAACAGAGATATAGATCAATGGAACAGAACAGAGCCCTCAGAAATAACGCCGCATACCTACAACTGTCTGATCTTTGACAAACCTGAGAAAAACAAGCAATGGGGGAAGGATTCCCTATTTAATAAATGGTGCTGGGAAAACTGGCTAGCCATATGTAGAAAGCTGAAACTGGATCCCTTCCTTACATCTTATACAAAAATCAATTCAAGATGGATTAAAGATTTAAATGTTAGACCTAAAACCATAAAAACCCTAGAAGAAAACCTTGGCATTACCATTCAGGACATAGGCATGGGCAAGGACTTCATGTCCAAAACACCAAAAGCAATGGCAACAAAAGCCAAAATTGACAAATGGGATCTAATTAAACTAAAGAGCTTCTGCACAGCAAAAGAAACTACCATCAGAGTGAACAGGCAACCTACAAAATGGGAGAAAATTTTCACAACCTACTCATCTGACAAAAGGCTAATATCCAGAATCTACAATGAACTCAAACAAATTTACAAGAAAAAAACAAACAACCCCATCAAAAAGTGGGCGAAGGACATGAACACACACTTCTCAAAAGAAGACATTTATGCAGCCAAAAAACACATGAAAAAATGCTCATCATCACTGGCCATCAGAGAAATGCGAATCAAAACCACAATGAGATACCATCTCACACCAGTTAGAATGGCAATCATTAAAAAGTCAGGAAACAACAGGTGCTGGAGAGGATGTGGAGAAATAGGAACACTTTTACACTGTTGGTGGGACTGTAAACTAGTTCAACCATTGTGGAAGTCAGTGTGGCGATTCCTCAGGGATCTAGAACTAGAAATACCATTTGACCCAGCCATCCCATTACTGGGTATATACCCAAAGGACTATAAATCATGCTGCTATAAAGACACATGCACACGTATGTTTATTGCGGCACTATTCACAATAGCAAAGACTTGGAACCAACCCAAATGTCCAACAATGATAGACTGGATTAAGAAAATGTGGCACATATACAGCATGGAATACTATGCAGCCATAAAAACTGATGAGTTCATGTCCTTTGTAGGGACATGGATGAAATTGGAAATCATCATTCTCAGTAAACTATCGCAAGAACAAAAAACCAAACACCGCATATTCTCACTCATAGGTGGGAATTGAACAATGAGATCACATGGACACAGGAAGGGGACTATCACACTCTGGGGACTGTGGTGGGGTGGGGGGAGGGGGGAGAGATAGCATTGGGAGATATACCTAATGCTAGATGACGAGTTAGTGGGTGCAGCGCACCAGCATGGCACATGTATACATATGTAACTAACCTGCACAATGTGCACATGTACCCTAAAACTTAAAGTATAATAAAAAAAATTGTAAAAAAAAAAAAAAAAGAAAATGTAGCCCTCTTCTTTCCATGTCATAGGCTACACTTTGACCTAATGTTTTTATGCAGCTACTTGCGCTTACTTTGAGACCTTTTTAGGGTTTGCTGAAGATGGCAGTATATAGGCTGAGTTGCCAAGAGATAGTGGGATATGTCAGGGTTTAACGATTATAGAACAGGCTCCTTTAGAGGAGTATAAACCTTGGCCATGTCCTTTGAGTTTTAAGCTCTTGCTTGTAATACTCTGGTGAATAATTTTGTTTGTTAAATTATTTAAGTTTAAGGCTAAGCATAGTGGGGTGTCAAAACCCAGTTTGGGCCTTAGCCATCCTATTCATAGGGCATTAACCTCACTTTCGTAGTTTATTTTTATTTTAGCTGGCACTTTCTCCAGATTAAAGTTTAGCTTTATTATGGGAATTAACTTCAAAGCACTTTATGCTGCTTTTTATTAGTTCAGGTTAATCATATGACCCTAGTGGCTGGGTGAAATTTACCAACCCAAGAAGTTTAACTGAGTCAACCTTTTGTTTATTGCTTAATTTTTATCACTGCTGTTTCCCATGGCAGAGTGGGTGGGGGTGGTTGAGCAAGGTGTTATGAGCTGCTGTTGTATGCCTGATACCTGATCCTTTTAATACTCTGTTTATGTAGAGGTTATCCTTACTGGAATATGGATGCTTGCATGTGTAATCTTACTGAAAACTAATAAAGTCCAGGAGCGAGCCTTTGTGTTTATGGAGCTATGAGAACTCATCTAGACATTTTCAATGCCTTGTTTTAACATATTAAACCACATCAACTCAGATCTAGAGAATTTCCACTTGGTTAAAAAATGGTAAGCTAAAGTGCCATGCTTGTATTGAGGCAATATTTAATAACCTTATAAATAAAAAGATGGATTTTTAACCCAGAAAACTTGGCTTTTATTAAAATATTATGTTTTTGAAATTGCTTTAATGGAGAGTTTGGCTAAAATTTGGTTCTAGTGAGGTTATAATTGAATTTGAGGTGTGGGTCCTGGCTATAATAGATGATATAAAGATTCTTGTTTTGTGTTTGGCAAGAATAAAAGCTTGTTTAACTGTATTAACTTTGATAATTATTCTGTAAAAGCTGTGGACAATTCACTGACTTTTGAAATATGTTACTGTATGTAGACTGTTAATAAAATAGTGTTAATGTACTGAAATATGAACTGTATCCAAAGTATTGATAATTATATATAGAGTATTCCTGTTTATCTGTAACTATCATCCTGACAAATTACATACAATAAATACATCTGTATGCTGTTTTTTTCTGTCTTGAAAAGATTCCATACTCCACCTACTCACATATTTCATAACATATTCTGAAATTACAATCACGCTACCTACAAAGTATCTGTTTTTTTACTTTAATGATTATTATAAAACTAAGCCCAGAATTGAACCATTACTATTCACTTTATATTCTTTTAACAAAGATTAATGAGGACTTACATGGAAGCTTTGATAAGCATGGAACAATGTTCCTGCCCACAAAGAACTCTTGTTCTTTCTCTCTCATTAAATATATACTTAATATATATACAATTATATTATACATAATATATATACACACACATTAATATAAGTCATCAATATATCTAATCATTATGAGAAAAAAATAAAATATGCTCAGAACACTGAGAATGGTTTTTGATAGAGACAACTGGATAGATCTCTGTGAAGAAAAAATGTTCAAGTGAATATATTAACAAAGTCAGGGAGTAAGCTGTATGAAAAACTGGGGGAACATCATCAGTAAAAATGATGGTGAAACCACATTATGAGAAACATAAGAACCTTGGTGAATTGAACCAAGATATTCACTAAAACAAATTGTTAAAATGAGATTCAACAAGATCAAAAGCATTAATATGTTCTTATATATATATCCCAGTGTTACTGAGTAAAACAATTGATTCTGTCTTATCTAGGATTTTTAAATGACTCAAAATCCTTGAAGTGTTACTCACTGATAAATGAAACATCTGCCATCACTATCTCATCTTATTTGTCAAGCAATAAAAAAGAGAATAATTTTTGAAAGCCACTTGAAGTTATTTAGAACTAATTAAAATTTTAGAAAAAAATATGTCTTTGTTTAAACTAAACCATTAGAGTATTAGGTACTTGAAATTGAGAAAACATGAAGACCATTAAAGTCTAAACCAGAAGGCTTATTCCAGCTGCTGTTATCCCCTGACATTCTTTCACTGACTGTACAATTATACATTTCTTATCATCACAATATCTGCGTGTACATACAAAGATGGTTCAGTCATTTGTTTGCTGATTTACATCACATTTATTTGTATTTAATTTTTTTTACCTTTGTATGAGAGATTAACTGTGCCACTGACCAGTTCAGTGCATATATAGGCACATTTTAAATAAAGACAATGGATATTCAAGACTGAAAAGGGAGTATAAAAAGGAAAAGTGAGTATTTATAAGAAAAGTATTGTAAAAAGAACAGAAGTAAAAATTGACTACCTTCTCATACATCCAATGTAAATGAATATAAAGACCATATTTGGAGCAGAAACACTCCTATAAGAATTTGCCAGATTTAAAGTGTGAATGAAATGGAATAGGCAGCTAATAACAAAAAATAAAGAAATAGGAAAATAAGCAGATAATAGCAGCATCTTAAATATAGACCATACAGTGTTTCTAGTTTAGGGTGATGGACATAATGTGTTCATTCACACTTACAAAAGTGCCATAAAAAGGTAAAATTTGATAACATAAAAAATAGAAAGGATCCCTCAATGAATCAGATAGTTTAAGAACGTTTTGTAAGATGAAAGGCACATAGAATGTGATGGGTAAACTCTTGAGACAGTAAGCATTCAAAATCTATATGAACTGGAGGAGCAAATTTGTTCTGCAAAATCTTGAAAAGGCTAGTGACTCAGAAACCATCAAGTCTGATAGATGGAAGGTGTGAGATTTACATCTGTAATCATAATTAAAGATTAATAAATTAAACCTCTCTCTACAAAACACACACACACACACACACACACACACACACACACACACACCAGGAGATTAACGCCAAGAAACTCATTGAGGTTCCTTGCTACAAAAGTAGAATAAAAATTATCTAAGAAGAAATTGTGTGAGTAATGTAGTTATTAGTAACACAGGGAAATTTCCTAACTCCCTAATTTACCTACTTATGGACCCCAAGCTTAACATTTATTTCCTCAGTTTACAGAAAATCGTATCAGATGCTGCAGTGCAAATAGTTTTACCAATTTAATTGTTAATTATAAGATATTGAAGAATCACAAGACACCAGAGAAAAGCCTGCAACATGAAGGGGAAACGCAAAATGAACATATTAGAAAAATTATTCCTTAGAAAACAAATTATTCAGCAAACATGGAGGAACAATTAAGCAAATGCAAAGAGTTCTGATTATTATCTTAGATTTTTTGTTTGTTCTCATATTTCATCCATTAAAGAAGTTTCTGTGAATAGGACAAAAAATGGTCCTAGAAAAATTTTTTTAAGTGACTGCTGAGAATATCTACCAAAAACTTAGAGGAATAAAGCAAAGAAATACAAAATATATTGAATAGGAGTGATGAGAGTAGATGTTTTTGTCTTATTCTGGTTCTTGGGGCAATAATTCCACCTTTTGTCTGTTCAGAAGGATGTTCACTATGGGCTTCTCATTGATGGCTCTTATTATTATGAGGTATGCGCCTTTGATGCCTAGTCTCCTGAAGGTTTTTAACATGAGGGGATGTTAAATTTTTATCAAAAGCCTTTTCTATGTCCATTGAGATATCATGTGTTTTTGGTTTTTAGTTCCATTTATGTGATAAATCACATTTATTGATTGCATATGTTGAACCAATCTTGCATCCCAGGAAGAAAACCTCCGTGATAGTTGTGGATTTGCTTTTTGATGTGCTGCTGCATATGATTTGCTAGAATTTTGTTGAGAAATTTTACGTCTATGTTCATCAGGAGTATTGGCCTTAAGTTTATTTTCTCGTTGTCTTCCAGATTTTGGTATCAGAATGATGCTGGTCTTACAGAATGAATTATGGAGGAGTCCTTCCTCCTTGATTGCTTTGGAGTAATTTCAATGTTATTGGTACCTCTTTATATGTGTGGTAATATTTGGCTGTAAATTCATTTGGTCCAGGGCTTTTTCTGGTTGGTAGTTTTTTTAAAATCACTAATTTTTGAACTAATTATTGGTCTGTTTACAATTTTAATTTCTTCCTGGTTCAATCTCAGGATATTGTATGTTTCCAGGAATTTATCCATGACTTCTTGGTTTTCTAGATTGTGTGCATAGCAGTGTTCTTAATAATCTCTGAGGGTTTTATGTATTACTGTGAGGTCAGTAGTAATGTCACCTTCATCATTTCTGATTGTGTTTATTTGGATACTATCTCATTTATTTTTGTTATTAAACTAGCTAACAGTCTATCCATTTTATTTTTTCTTTCAATAAACCAACTTTTAGTTTTGTTGTTTTTTTTGGTATGGATTTTCATGTCTCAATTTCATTCAGTTTGGCTTTGATTTTGGTTGTTTCTTTTCTTCCACTAGCTTTGGGGTTGATTTTATCTTGTTTTCCTAGTTTCACTAGGTGTGATGTTAGGTTTTTAATTTGAGATCATTCCAACTTCTTGATGTAGGTATTCAGCATTATAAAAACTTTTCTCTTAAAACTGCTTTAGCTGTGTCCCAGAGATTCTAGTATGTTGTATCACTGTTTTTATTCATCTCAAAAAATTCACTTTTTTCTGCCTTAATTTTAATGCTTAGCCAAAAGTCATTCAGGAAAAGATGTTTAATTTTTATGTAATTGTACAATTTTGGGAAAAAAACAACTTGTTTATAATCTCAAAATAAATAAATAAATAAAGACTACCTTTACAATAGAAATATTTTACCATCTTACTTAACATAGAAACATGGCTTAATAAACATTGATTAAAATAACTGAATGTCTGAAAAAATAGAGATCTACAGTTATAAGAAATGATTAAATATATGTAAAATACTTCTGATGAAAGAACAGTACTGCCTTATTTCTAGAAAATAATCTTCTGTTGTGTTGTTACTTATTATATTTGTGTAACTTCATTATTCCTATAACTTCAAATTCCAGTTACAACAAAATAACCATTGTTGCCTTGCTTTACAAAATGCTGTTTGGTATACATAACCGTTCATTTGTCTTTCTGGTTTTCTTTCTCTAGATTTTATCTTTCTGGGATTTGAATAAACACATAAAAGTTTTAAAAATTAAAAATATATACTAAACGATAAGATAAAAAGGATCAATTGATACAATTGAGAAGGTCCAATTCCTCACAGATATGAGTAAATAAAACAACTATCAAAGAACAACAGCAACAAAGGAGAATTGCTTCAAAGTAAAAACTTAAATCATAGATGGAAAGGGCCACTGTGCACCAATTACAATGAAGGAATATCATTCAGTACTGCACATTCTTGTAACATGTAATATTATAATTGATGAAATAATCATCAAAAACCCAGAAACACATAAAAATAATTATCCATTAAAAGATCTATCAGTTATACTAGTTAGAAGAGCACAATGAAGTTATTACTTAATATTGGGGGGAAAAACAAAAAACAAAAACAAAACCCTCTGATTTCCATCCCAGGATTCCATATTAAGTGAAATAACAATGTTTGGACTGATTTATAGGTGATTTATGACATAAAACAATTTAAAGTATTATTTTTTATTTGCCATTTTTTAAATTTAAATAAGAAATTTTTCAGGAAAACAAAAGTATATCAAATGAAAGCAAGACACAGGATCTAAGAATTAATGACTACAATTTAGGAGGAAAATGAAGGAAAACTTAAGTGAAACAGTAGGGTTAGAATTTCATGTACTTGATCCTCTCCTGAAATTATAGAAAATATCATTTTTAAAAAAATTGAATCTCAGAATGACTAAGCAAGGATATGATATATTACTAGAATCTTCAAATAAAATAAATAAGTATTCAACTAAATAAGTATATGTGATATGATACTTAGTAAGATCGTTTTCATTTCCATATCAATGTAACAACCATTGAAAAATTTTAAAATTTTAGAATAAAATTTGAACCAACCTTTAAAAATACCCTTAATTATAGTTACAGAATTTGAAGGAAATGATATTAATCATAACAAGGGAAAAATAGCATACATAATACCCAAGTTAGGAGTAAAAAAAATGTGAGTTTTGCTGAAATAAATTGAAGAGACTAAAGTGTTTATTTTTCAAAGTAGAGACAGGAGAAAGTATCTATGGTTGAAAAAACAGTAAGTAGTAAAACTGTTAAAGTTCAAAAGATTAAAAACAGAGGTATAAAATAGTATTTCAGCTTTGTAGCAAGAGAAGCACGGGAAGCACATAAATAGTATACATCAACATAGTATGAGAAAGTCAATAAAACTATAAGTTACAAAAAAATAAGGGAGGATGGTATTATAAACATATTTTAGGTATATATAAAATGTATAGTTAAAAGAGTTTAAGAAAGATGAAAACTTCTCTTTTTTTCTAGCTCTTACCCATGTATTACTTTGCTCAATTTTAAATGAATTAAAAATACGTTAAAAATGCTTCAGGAAAGATTTAGTGTAGCTGAGAAGTTTAAATTCAATTGTTACATGAATAAATAAATTCTCCTGTACCTAGAATTTTCCATTTACTCTTTGTTTTTAAACTTTAACATGTGGCCTCAGTAGGGCTAATATTAAATATCATGTTAAGAAAAATTTGGCTCAATTGAATTAATGACATTAGATACATGGTTGTCAGCTTGGTTGATACCAAATTATTGGCTAGTGTGGGACTCAAGCTTTTTAAGATATCTTACCCTGGGTAACCATTTGTGTATCCTTGAATAATTGATACATGAAATAACAGGAAAACGTAACAGAAAAAAAAATCACTATGCATTTAGATATGGCGGTAAATAATGAGCAATAAGGAAGCTGACCTGTATAAAACATTTTACTTTAGGAAAAATTATGCTATAAGTGAATCAGGTTTTGAAAATTTATCAAATATATTTTAAAATGTTGTTATATTTACTTATTTTTCTGAGTTCTCTGCCAAAACTGGTATCTGCATATTATGAAATTTGGTTTGTGATGAAAATTATAACGCTTGCTACATTTCAATATTAAAGCACTTAGTTTTAGAAAATAAAATACTTTTCTGCAGCCTTCAGAAACAATTACTTTTCATGAGTCGACAGAGTTTTTGATTGAGTCTGTCAGAAAAACTTGCAAAGTTATCTTGCTGTAATAAATGGGATACTCAGATTCTAATTTCCATAAAAATAGATTTTAGAAAATAACAATTCTGGGATTTATTGAATTTTCTAGCAAAGACTTGTAATTATCTCATACATAAACCAAAAGTAGTGCTTATTACAAGTGACAATTTTAATCATTTGCTGATTTTGTTGATGTTTAAAGCTGTATTTGCAGTTTACATTTAAATGACAAGATTTTAAATTTCTTGTTAGAAATCTTTATAAATATTGCATAGAAAATGTAGTGGTTTTCCATAAGAATTTATGCAATCGCATACAAGGTTAATTTTTTTTTCTTTTGATCCTGGAAAGGCACTAGGTAGCGTTCTCTTGAGATGTGAAATTCAGAGTATTTTCTTTCCTTTCTTGCTCCACATCCTTTGATATTTCTGGCTCTACAATTCACTGCTCCCCAAATTATCTGAACTGATACTTGAAATGCAGCTCTTACTGTAGCAATGAGAAAGTTAGAACCAGGGAGAATTTTAGGATGACTTCTTGAACACAATAAAGTATTTAATAAAGTAACTAATAAAAATGGGCCCAAGTATAAACTTTCATCCACCCCTTTGCTCACTTTTAAGAATCCAAACATATTAACATATTATAAACTTCCGTATAATTATTCTGCATGTTTTCTAAATTCAGGTGTGATGTGCTCTATTCGAATGACATGTAAAGTTATAAAATTTGAAAATTAAATAGAAAAATATATGCACAATTCATCTTTCCTTTGATAGGTATAGTGATCTATTTGTGATATTTTTCAAAATTGTATTCATTTTCTCAAAGGCATGTTGTAGAATTCTGGGCTGGTTAATAATAAATAGAAAATAAATTTTAATGAAAAACTAGTAAAATTATTTCCCCCATAAGTTATTGAAATAAAATAGGGTTTCTAAGCCATATTTGAGTTATGGTAGTTGTAAGCATTATTTTTAGAGGCTTTGACAACAAAAGGTCAAGTAAAATATTGCTGATACATGTTTTCTTTCTTTGTTTCTCTCTTGCAGATTCACAACACATAATAGGTAACTTAAAGGATCTGAAATACTTTATAATAAAAACTACTTACATTTTAGTGTCAATAATTTAAAAAACAAAGACAAGATTTATACACTTTGGAACTGACATTTTAAAAATTACCTATTTACACTATTTCGAATAATTTTTCTTAGCATTAACTATAGCAAAGTAGAAAGTATAGTCAGTGAGTGCAAACACCTATTGGACTTCATTTCGTCTTTCATCAACGATCTAATGGCAACTCAAATTGTAAGATTTAGCAACATAATACATAGCAAAAATTTTGAATCCATACAAGCTATTCTTAGTCTATGGTTCTTGATGCAGTATAACTTGTACTAGCTATATTTTTACAACTTGGCGAATAACTGCTTGGCAAATAAACTTTAACTTGTTATCAATTCCTAATGCCCACCATCTGCCTTGTTCATTAAGAACTGTGAAGTTTATGGGTAGTCTTATAACTATGTGATCATCAGTTATCTCTGGTGGCCCAGATCAGAAACTTTCTTACTTTTAAAACTGAGTATTTTGAAATATTCTTAAACGTTTTACTTAATTTTAAGCTTAACAATTCTCAATCTAGGATAATTATAATCTTTGGTCTTTCATTTCTTTTTCATTTCATTTTCTTCTTACCTTTCTATTAACTCCCACCCATCAAAAAGCAAATCACACATCGCATTATTTGATTGGACCATATATTCAACATTCTAAGCATGCATATGAAAAAGGGTGACATTTACTTACATTCCAACTTCAGATGTTTTACTAACTTTTCATATTACACAGACCAACTCTGAATTACATCCTAGATTGATTTTACAATGTATACGTATTCAATTCTGCATTAACTAGTTTTCCGACAGGTCAATAACACCATTCCCTTTAATTTATTTTAAATTAGATATGCATAAAAGTATACATTAAGAGAAAACACTTTGTGGTTAATGTGTAAGTTTAAAAAATAGTAAAATTTGATTGCTCTTAGATGTCAAAATAGTTTGACATTGTATTTTTCTGGATTGAGATGCTGATAAAGGATTTAAAGATATCCCCAGTAGATTTGTAAAAGCATATGAGTTTAAAAATTAAAAATATATATTTACTTGTTATATTCTTTGAATATCACAATAAGAAGGTTACCCTTTCAATAAGTGTTTATAGATTATTGAATAGAGGCAGACACCCTGAACTGCACCTTGATTAGAGAATTTTATAGAAATATGATTCATATAAAAAAAGATTTAAAATTTTTAGAAAACCTTGGAGGTCATTATCTAGCAGCTTTTGGCATGTGATTGATTGCTTTTTGAAACACATTAGAACCCCTTGAGCAGAAGCAATGTTAAAAGCTTAAGTCTAGACATGAGGTCATTATAGTTCAGTATCATATTCTATGGGGGAAAAGTGATATACTGGTAATTAAAACATAGGTACATATTGACAGAAATTTCCACTGAAAATGTACTATTCTTACTTGAAGTTATCATGATTCCTGAATCCAAAGATTCATGTCTTTAGATCAACCTGGAAAATCATGCACTTTTATCTCTTTAAGTAATAATTAGCCTCAATCCACTCTACTCATTATTTATAGACAACTATTAAATTTATATTGACCCCGCTTACAGCTTGAAACTGATTTATGTTTTCTCACCTCCAGGATTAACATGAATACATTGTTTTGTCTCCTTTCATGGGAGTCAGCTAGGTTACGCCTTTGCCAACATGAAAAAGGCCTGAGCCTGGCAATTATGGCAAATTAGCAGCTGTAGAAATGGTAAAACCTCACGAAGTAAGCATGTGTACTATTCTAAATAGAATTTGAATTAGTTGGTACTTTTGTTTTCAGATAACAAGGAAACTCACTGCCAATTGGTGATTTAAAGAAAAGGGTATTTACTTCAATAAGTTACATCATTTCATAGTTTACATGTTTCAGAAATGGGTTCTTGCCATTAGCTTTGTTGCTTTCTCTTTTTTTCATTTCCATATTCAGGTACACCTTATGCTTCATACTTTCACATGTCATCAGATCTAATCCTCTCTACATCTTTCACCTCTTCATCTTTTGACTAATTCCCTGGCATGGTGACATAGTGAAAAAATGGTAGCAAGTGGGTAGGCCTACATCCTTTCAGGTGTAATCCTAGAAATAAAAAAGAAAAATAAAGAAAGAGAATAGGAAGTAGAAAATTTTTAAAAGAAGGTATTTTTTTTCTTACAAGCTTTTATACATGTCTAAGATTAGTTTTGATTGAAATATTATAACAGTTATGTTTCAAATGATATAATATAAATCAACGTGGCCAGAGTGACCTAATTTTATTTTTTGAACAAACACATGTCACATGTCTACTCCTGAACTAACAACTGTGGTTATGGAGTATTTGTGCTCTCTGACACATGCCAGGGTCACATACAGCAAACTTGGAGCTACAGGTACAGTACCATCTGGAATATATGAACTCAAAGTGGGCAAGATATAGTTCCCAAAAGATATTTCAGACACTCCTACTAGGAAATGGAATCACTGTTAGAAAAGCAAAATCAGTATATGATCACCTTAGTAAGATATTGAGGTAGTTAAACAAAACCTATTAGTTTAAATTTACAAGTATATTAATATGTATTATAAATTTTAATGGAATTCAAAATTGGTAAAGTGTGAAGTTAATATATTTATTACATGTCAAATTTAAATATATGCTTATGATAGGATTCATTATTCTTTGCTAAATGTTCAATTTTCCTTCCTGTCTTGCTCTTTTTTGAAGCAAGATTACATAGACCTGCCCTGGAGACTTCAGGGTTGACTTGTTTGGCCAATGAAATGTGATCAGAAGTGCCATATGCCACTTCTTGGCAGAAGCTTTAAAGCTATTGCACAATTTTCCCATGTATTTTTTTCTTACCCACAATGATTTTGAATGCACCCAGATAGAGGATGAGTACTGGAATGAAGATGAAGTGCAGCAAGATGAGATTGATATGCACAGACTTGCTGTTTGAGTAAGAAATAAACATTTGTTGGTATAAGCCACTAACAGATCTAGGTTATTTATTTTTGCAGCACATTGGTGAAAATTTGGCCAATACAATATTATCTCTTTTAAAAATGTTTATCAATAACTTTTATGATCAGACTAGGTGCCGTGGCTCAAACCTGCAATCCCAGTATTTTGGGAGGGGAAAGCAGGAGGATTGCTACAAGCCAGGAGTTCAGACCAGCCTGGGCAACAAAGTGAGACCTTATCTCTACAAAAACTATACAAATTAGCCCCACATCATGGCACCCACCTGTAGTCCCAGCTATTCAGGAGGCTGAGGTGGGAGGATTGCTTGACCCCGGGAGGTAAAGGTTGCAGTGAGCTGTGATCACACCACTGCACTCCAGCCTCGGTGATGGAGTAAGACCCTGTCTCTCTCTCTCTCTCTCTCAGTCTCTCTCTCTCTCTCTCTGTGTGTGTGTGTGTATATATATATATATATATATATATATATATATATATATATATGTGTGTGTGTGTGTGTGTGTGTGTGATTTTGTCTTTTTTCTTTATATATATATAAAGAAAATATATATATTATAAATTTTACATATATAAAGAAAAAAGACAAAATAGTCTGCCATAGGGTTTTTAAAGCATTATTTTATTATTGGTGGGGATGGAGAGTTGACAGATTAATACTTATTCATTTTATATATTTGGAAACACAGAGACAAATGCTGAAGAAAATAAGTATTACTGTGTTCCCCTGCCTTGAATTATCTGATAATAGCATTGTGGAGAATATCTTTTGAGGACATGTTTTCTTAGTTTAAAACCAAAAATAATGTTACCTTTCTTTAGATACACAAATTTGTGATACACAAATTTGTATTTTGCAAGCTTCTACCTTCCTTAACTACAGAAGATTATTTTATCATATTAATCTTGATAACTCTCAAGAAATTTTTATGCTTAGATATTTCATGAGTGGGTCCTTGCCCTACACTGTATTATTTCCCTCTTATATCACTAGTTTAGTGCACTCAGGTAGCTGTTGTTCCCTGTGACTTTCCTATCAAGCATGAATAAAGGCCCATCATCCAATACCCTAGTACACAGCTAATTTAAGCCTATTTCATTTGGGAAAGCAAAGTTCTTTAAGGCTTGAGAGACAAAGGAGAAAGTTTAAACAAAGACAACTTAAACATCCCACTGGAAATGATTATTAACAGAGTATTTTTACCCAAGTCATTTTCCATTCAAAATTAGACTTAACTGTGTGCAACTAATGCCCAAATATAAATGCCCAAAGGTTCTTCCCTGAATTATCAATAAACAACAACATGTATTTCTGAGCTGAATGTATCACTGTTTTCAACTTTTACGGAATACATTTTTTTTACAACGTATTTAAAAATCTAGTCTTATTCAGAATATTTTCTGACAAAAGAAACAAAAACTTGGGAGTGAAATATTCGCAAATGTCTTTATTTATCTACAGACTGTGGTATTTTCAAGACTTATTTCTCCCTGATAGTATAAAATACAAGTTAGTAATCAATTCTATAGAGATTATTAAATGTTAACTTTGTAAGGTATTTTCTGTTTAATAATTTTGGATTTTTTACCCACCATTTTGTCTTCCCAAGGATAGCCTATACATCAGAGCTATGTAAATAACGTATATCAGCGAGGAGGGAGTATCTGATTGAAAGCCATCTTTTGTTCTCTCACCATTTGTGGTCATAGACTGCTGAGCTCTTTTTTGTCCTTATCTTTTTATATTTATGGACACTCTTCTCAGTAATTCTTCATCCTTCTCAAAACAGTTGGATGTTCTCTCATCCTTTTCTCTGCAAAGAGGAAACCCAGGTGGTATCTTGGCACAGCAAACTTCCTTGAGATGTTTGATGATGATTGATGAAAAACAACAGGGAAAAAAAAAATAAATCAACCACTCTAAATAGTCTGCTTGACCAGGAATCCTTCTAAACACCCAGGGTTTCTATTGCATACAGTTTTCCTCCCACTGGGGATTAGGACCTTTGCAGGGACCAGTAACAAAGTAATGTTCTATAGCCTTTCTTTCTAAATCTGCATCATTTGCCCATGTAACATATATATAATAATGAGCATGAAGTATTTCATTTTCCCATATATTGTCTCCTAATGTATTGTTAAGAGTTAGCAGGCTCTGCATGTTCCACATCTTAGTTCTTAAACCCAAGTTTCCTTTTAGTGATACACATGATGAAGTATTTAGAATAAAGCAGAGTAATACATGTATTTCACTTATAAAAGTATACAAAGAAAAGGTTAAACAAAGTGATGTATAAATTAATAGACTTGTTATAAAGCAAGTGGAGTAAAAATTAGTGGTAAAATGTAGAAGCGTATGCAGTTGTTCACTGTAAAACTATTTTCAATGTTGCTTTATATTTGTAATTTTTAATACAAATTCTGGGAACATTTTTAAGAACAATAATCTATTCATAAGTGTCAAGTCTATTTTGGTGTGTAAAACAGCAATAATTTGGATGTTTGACGACCATCTTCTGAGAATGTATCGCTTTCCTGAGGCAATGCATGTCTCTACTTAATAAGCAAAAGTCACAGTACATGTATAATAAGAAAATGTGTGAAAAGTTACACAGTAGATTCTGGTTTAATAATTTAATACGATACTGTGATATTGGTATAAATTTATATATGAATGTGACATATAGATTCTATCTTATTTCTTAAAAATTAAGCAAATTACATTATGAAAAGCTTAGATTTCTGATTTCTGTTGTCTGTTTTTCTTCCACGTCAAGTTCTATATCATGAAAATACAACCATATTTTGGAATTCAGTATAGTAGATGGTATTCCTTTACTGTAGGGCATTCTATAGCTTTGTTTTAATACTCCAGTTTTTCTTACGTAAGTTGTTTACAAATAACTTTTGTAAATAATAATTAAAATGATAATTACAATTATGGTTATGAGACCACCCCTAATTATTTCTTAAATTTAGGATCCTAAGAAGTTAATTGAGTAAAACAATATGAATATTTTTAAGACCTGTGTTTGTACTGCAGTAATGATCTCAAAAGGAGTTTACACAAATTCACGTACAAAAAGTATATGAGTATTTGTTTCGCACATTTATCTAGTAACATAAAAGTATTCCTCTTGGTCAAATTCATGGGTAAAATGATTCATTATAAAATTGAATTTTTTAGTTTTTAGCAATGATAAACAAAATATTAAACATACATATTTGTTTACAGATTCTACACTTATGTCCTTTACCCAATTTTTAATTTAACAAATTTTTTATTAATCTATAAGAACAATTTGTATAATACATATTTTATGTTTATTACATATACATATGTTTATTACATATTATATAAATTTATTTAAGTAGTTGATTGCCTTTTACTTCTGTTTGTGTTTCTTTGAGGACTGTAGAATCTTTTGAGTAATACATATATAAATTTATACAATTTACATTTATATTTAGAAACTGTACCAACAACATATTATCTATATATATCTATGAGTAAAAATTTTTAGAAATAGTTAATCTGTCATTTGGTAAAATTCTTCCTTACAGCTTTATGTCACAAATTCATTTTGAAATAATTCTTTTTTACCTATTTTGTGAAACTAAATCACTGGCTATATGTTCAGATTCACCTCAAATATATCTTGGAAGTCATTAGTTTTATGCCAAGATTGGAACAGACATATAATAAGTACTCTTCTGATATAATTTCAAGGTATTTTTACATTATCCTTACTGGAATAGTGATTGCATAGTATACTAATTTTCTGATAACCTGATTTTTCCAAGATTTATTTTACATATATAAACTAAAATTCAAAAACTGAAGCTTTGTATTTTTAATGACATCTTGGAAGCCAAGAACTAGGATTTGGAAAAGAAAGCTATCCCTTTTTATTGTTATTTCTCTTTTAACTTCCTGTTAGGAATAAATAGCCAATTGAGTCAAGATATATTTCTTTCTCACACTACAAATCTATTTAATATAGGTATTTTTATATTAGTTCTTTTACATGTCATTTTTACACAAGAACCCAGAGTGATAAAAAAAACAAAACAAAACAAAACAAAAAACATTTCAGATGATCTGAAGTATTGCCAGTGATATGGTCTGGCTATATCCCCACCCAAATCTCATCTTGACTGAAGCTCCCACAATTCCCATGTGTTGTGGGACGGACCTGGTGGGAGGTAATTGAATCATGGAGGTGGGTCTTTTCCATGCTATTTTCATGATAGTGAATTAGTCTCATGAGATACAGTGGGTTAATAAAGGGAAATTCCCCAGCACAAGTTCTCTTTTCTTGTCTGCCACCATGTGAGACATGCCTTTCACCTTTTGCCATGATTGTAAGACCTTTCCAGCCATGTGGAACTGTGAATCCATTAAACCTCTTTCTTTTGTAAATTGCCCAGTCTCAGGTATGTCTTTATCAGTAGTGTGAAAAGAGACTAATACAGTAAATTGCTACCAGTAGAGTGGGGTTCTGCTGAAAAGATACCAAAAAATGTGAAAGCAACTTTGGAACAGGGTAACAGGCAGAGGATGGAACAGTTTGGAGAGCTCAGAAGAAGACAGGAAAATGTGGGAAAGTTTGGAACTCTCTAGAGACTTGTTAAATGGCTTTGACCAATATGCTGATAATGATATGGACAATGAAATCCAGGCTGAGGTGGTCTCAGATGGAGATGAGAAACTTGCTGGGAATCAGAGCAAAGATGACTCGTTACGTTTTAGTCAAGAGACTGGTAACATTTTGCCCCTGCCCTAGAGATTTCTGCAACTTTGAACTTGGGAGAGATGACTTAGGGTATCTGGTGGAAGAAACTTCTAAGCAGGAAAGAATTCAAGAGGTGACTTGGATGCTGTTAAAGGCATTCAGTTTTAAAAGGGAAACAGAGCATAAAAGTTTGGAAAATTTGCAGCCAGACAATGCAATAGAAAAAAAAAAAATCCCATTTCCTGGGGAGAAATTCAAGCTGGCTGCAGATATTTGCATAAGTAACAAAGAGCCTGACATTAGTCAGCAAGTCAAAGGGGAAAATGTCTCCAGGGCATGTCAGAAATATTTGAAGCAGCCCTTCCGGTAACAGGCCGAGAGGCCTCAGAGTAAACTATAGTTTTGTGGTCTGGGCCCAGGGTTCTTCTGCTGTTTGCAGTCCAGGAACTTGTGCCCGGCATCCCAGCCACTGCAGCCATAATTAAAAGGGGCCAAGGTATGGTACAGCTTGGGCCATGTCTTCAGAGGGCTCAAGCCCCAGTCCTTAGTAGCTTCCACATGGTGTTGAGCCTTAGCCTACATAGAAGTCAAGAAATGGGGTTTGGGACCCTCTGCCTAGATTTCAGAGGTTGTATGGAAATGCCTGGATGTCCAGGCAGAAGTTTGCTAGGGCAATGCAGAAGGGAAATGTGGGGTGGGCAGCCCCACATACAGTCCCCACTGGGGTGCTGCCTAGTGGAGCTGTGAGAAGAGGGCCACCAATCTCCAGCCCCTAGAATGGTAGATCTACTGACAGCTTGCACCGTGCTCCTGGTAAATGTGCAAGACACCCAACTCCAAAGTATGAAAGCAACTGTGAGGGAGGCTGTACCCTGTAAAGCCACAGGGCCAGAGCTGCAAAACTGGCCCTCATTCACCAAACTGGAACTCACCACTTGCATCAACATGACCTGGATGTGAAACATGGAATCAAAGGAGATCATTTTGGAGCTTTAATATTTTACTGCCCTGATGGATTTCTGTAACCCCTTGTTTTGGCAAATTTCTCCTATTTGGAATGGCATGGCTGTAATTACCCAATGCCTGTACCTCCATTGTATGTAGGAAGTAATTAACTTGCTTTTGATTTTACAGGCTCGTAGACAGAAAGAACTTGCCTTGTCTCAGATGAGACGTTGAACTGTGGACATTTGAGTTAATGCTGAAATAAGATTTGAGGGACTGTTGGGAAGGCAAAATTGGTTTTGAAATGTGAGTACATAAGATTTAGGAGGGGCCAGGAGTGGAATGGTATGGTGTGGCCATGTCCCCACCCAAATCTCATATGAAATATAGCTCCCACAATTCCCACGTGTTGTGGGAGGGACCTGGTGGCAGGTAATTGAATCATTGGGGCTGGTTTATTCATGCTATTCTCATGATGGTAAATAAGTATCATGAGATCTGATGGTTTTGTAAAGGGGCCTTTCCCTGCACAAGTTCTCTTCTTTTGCCTGCTGCCAAGTGAGATGGGCCTTTCACCTTCCACCTTGATTGCGAGGCCTCCCCACCTTCATGAAACTGTAGGTCCATCTTTCTTTTGTAAATTGCTGAGTCTCGGGTTTGTCTTTATCAGCAGCATGAAAACTGACTAATACAGCCAGTAAGCTCCAGAAGGGAGGGCACAGAGAGCATGGAAAAACAATCACATGCTTGCACTCTTTGGCTTCTTCCTTCATTTCACACATCAATACCACTCATGTTTTACTGGCCAAAACAATTAACATGGTTTCACCCAACATCAAGGAGAGAAGTTGTGCAACCTTGCCATGTATATTGAAATATTAGAACCACTAATAATGGTTAACCATACCATAACCATATGGTAAACAGTTAATATGTGATGAAGCATAGGAATCAACAGCCCATAGCTGGAACACACAGTAAATACTAGATAGACCTCAGATATTAAAATTAAATAAAGTATAACTAAATAATCTATATAAGTGTGTAACCATGAAAGGGATTGAAAAATATTTCTAACAAAAAGGTACCAAGTACAGATGAGTTTGCAGGTGTGCGCTTTATGTAACTTGAGAAGCATCTGTGTTTTTTTAAAAAGACTTTGAAGTATGGATTCTATTTCTCCAAACATTTCAAACACATTATATGAAACATAACTTGTTAATACAATCTAACAAATATAGCACAAAAGGTAAGATTATACAAAATTTCTCATCAATATTTTACGCATTCAATCTAGCATGCTAAAAGAATAATACAGTTTGACCAAGACAGGTTTATCAATGGCTTCAAGCATGTTTTTAATGATAAAAGAGGAATATCCCTTCTCGGAATTTTCCGAAATACATTATTGACAGTAGGTACTACATATCAGCTAGCCTAAACACAGAGTTTAAGTTGTTCAGTCATTTTTCTGGGGTTCACTAAGAGGCAACTAACTTAGTCCTTAAACCATTTCTCCTATTACATCTCCAAAAGTTAACTTATTTGCCAAATGCTACATAATAAATGTTAAGGAGGTGAGTTTAGTCCAAGACTTCAATATCCATACTCAAGTCATGTCATACTACCAGATGGTATTTCATATAAGATAGTGTTTCAAATACATGTCTTGATATAAAATTTTGCACCAAAGTCCATAACATTCATAATTATCAACGAATATCTAAAAACGAAATAATAAGTACTAATCTTATTATTAATAGGTGTGTCTAAATACAACTGTAAATACAGCTATGATGTACCTAAATGAAGAAGAAGAAGAAGAGGAAGAAGCAGAAAAAGAAGCAGAAGCAGCAGCAGCAGCAGCAGCGGCAGAAGAAGAAGAAGAAGAAGAGGAAGGAGGAAGAAATTTTACCAAAAATTTGAAATATTTTAAAATATTTTCCCTCCTTTGTTTTGTCACAGGCAAGTCCTGGAAATGTGAACCTCTCATATTTTATCACACACTTTTGATTATTGTACTAGCCAGTCAAGAACATTAGAAAAGGCATTAAGAAATTGATAGAATATTATGTTCCTGAATAAGATGACATAATATAAAAATGTTAATTTCCTATAAAACTCCATACAAATTTAAATTTATTCAATTTAAAACTTTGATGGGAAAATTGAAACTTGGCAAAATTATTCTGACATCATTTTAGAGAATAAATGAGGAGAGCTGAGGAGTTTTTAAAAGAAAAATAATTAGAGGAAGTTGATCTGCAAGACAATGAAATGTTTTATAGGTTAAAATAAATTAAAGCAGTGTTTTACTGGCCCAAATATATTAAAGCAGACTGGTAGAATAAAGTAAAAAACAAGAAATCAGACTTACTATTTCTTCAGTACATAGCTCTTGCACTCCTAGGAAAATGCTAAGCTACAAATAAAACTTAACTGAGTATTTACAGGATACTCAAATACACTAGGAAAAAGATGAGATCCCTTCTCCTAATACTATTAGTAAATGCTTTTATAAAATATATTTTGTTCTTCAGTATCTTGAGCATGTTTTATTTTTTAATAAAATGATTTTTTTTCTCATTAGTCTTTTGTGTTTATTATTCATTAAAATGTTTATGTTACCTCAGCTTTGATTAGGAGGTCTTATTTTCTGTTCTATATGATTCCTCAGAATATGGTAAATATATTCTCCCTGTGTATCCTAAATTCAATCATTATCCACTCATAATTAGTGAACATTCATTTAAAATATTTGGAAGAATGGCCTATTTTTTCATTCCACTCTTTACTTTTGGCGGATTTGCCATTATAAGGAGAAATCCCTTGACCTTGTCCCTCTCAAAGGCAAGTGGCATTTATTATAAAGTAGTCACAGTCCTTATCCAGTCCCAAAGAATGAAAGTATAACACTAATGCAGTGTTCCAATTGCTTATTTTTCTAGACTTTCCTCTATCTCTTGCCAGTTTCATATTTCCACATTAAAGTGACACTCTATATTCACTGCTGTCACTAGATGTGTTATTTTGCTTAAAATTATTGTCCGTTTATGAAAGTAAAAATGTAGTATCAACGTAGAAAAAGAATAGTGTACCATGAGTCTGTTTATACTAGAACATAGCTTTCTGACAACAGATATTTGACAATTGTTTCCTTTTCAGTGAGATTTATCTGTGGTACAGTGAGCTAGAAACGTAAGTGGATAGAAATATTATACCACCTTTGAGCCTTACGTGGTCTTCTATTTTGCCTCAAGACAATTTATAAATGTTTTTTAGAGATCATTCCTTCTGCTGATTGCCATCTTCTCGATCAATATTGGTAGTTTCCAAACGTAAAAACTTGATACCTTTTTTAATGATTCTATTACTAGAACTATTAAAAATATTAGAGAAAAAAGGAAATTAAGTAGCATTGGCCTTCTAGCACTATTATCATTTACACATAATTTGATGGAGTTAGTTGCTTAATATCAGTATATGTGTACCCATGGCCCTGAATAAAATATTCCTAAGCTGGAAAAAATAAAAATATATTCATCTTAAATATTATTCAATGTGATTTTCATTTATTTTTTGGGAAGCCTTATTTTCATTATTGGATTTAATGATTATTATCTATTATATTTATCTATAAACTATATTTTATTATTTGGTTCTAAAATAGTTTTCCTTGTGATCAAGCAATAAATTTGTTTTGAGGTGGGTTGGAAAACATTTAAATTGTGAATTTTATGTCTTTATTCACTGTAAATGTATGGATATATTTTTTGAAACTTTGAGTGAATCTAATTAGTGCTTGTGTACTTTTAATGTAAAGCACAGAAATATCTTTAATAATGATATTTTCACAAGGAAAAATAATGCTGTATTTGAAGTCTAAATCTCTCTAGTCCCCAATCACCTTTTCTCCATTATAACAACTTGTATAATTTTAGAATCACACTAATATTTAATATTAAAAGATAATTTATGCTCATTTGTGATATGTAATCATCCTTGTTATATTCTCTAATAAAAATATATACATACCAACAAATTTTATTTATGTTTGTCATTGCACTTATGTTTAATATTAATTTTGTCATATTATTTTATCCTGTATTTGCTGCATGTATAATGTTATGTTTATTGTGTTTCTTCTGTGTCTTTTGTTTTCTTTGGTTCTTTCTGTATTGCTTTTTTTATAGGAATGTTATTGGTTTTGCTGTATCGTTATCTTTATATCACTAACTTTTATAATGTCTCTAACATTTTATTACCTGAATTTCTAATTTTTGTTTTGCCAGCTTTAAAATGTATGCTTCGAATCATATCTAACCCCAATGTAGCCATCAATGATGTTACTTTACTAGACTTTCTCTAATTTCTTCTTCCATTGCTAAGCTACATTCCTTCTATTTTATCAGAGAACATTTAATATTTACAACAACAACAAAAAACCCCATCAAAAAGTGGACAAAGGATATGAACAGACAGTTATCTAAAGAAGATATTTATGTGGCCAACAATCATATGAAAAAAACTCAACATCATTCATCATCAGAGAAATGCATATCAAAACCACAATGAGATATCATCTCACGCCAATCAGAATGGTGATTATTAAAAAGTCAGGAAACAATAGATCCTCATGAGGCTGTGGAGAAATAGGAAAACTTTTACACTGTTAGTGGGAAATGTAACTTAGTTCAACCATTGTGGAAGACAGTATGGTGATTCCTCAAGGATCTAGATCCAGAAATACCATTTTACCCAGCAAACCCATTACTGTGTATATACCCAAAGGAATATAAATCATTCTACTATAAAAACACATGCACACACATATTTATTGCAGCACTATTAACAAAGACTTGGAACCAAACCAAATGCCCATCAATGATAGACTGGATAAAGAAAATGTGGTACATATACACCATGGAATACCATGCAGCCATAAAAAGGAATGAGATCATGTCCTTTGCAGGGACACAGATGAAGCTGAAAGCCACTATCCTCAGCAAACTAACACAAAAAACAAAACCACATGCTCCCACTTGTAAGTGGGAGTTGAACATTGGGAATACATGGACACAGAGAGGGGAACAACACACACTAGGGCCTGTTGAGGGGTGGGGAGTTAGGGCAGGGAACTTCGAGGATGGGTCAGTAGGTGCAGCAAACCACCATGGCACACGCATACCTATGTAACAACCCTGCACGTTCTGCACATGTAACCCCTCCCTTTTTTTTAGAAGAAATAAAAAAAAAATCACAGTAGAACATTTGATATTGGTTTGAGTAGTCATACATAAAGAATGTTTATTATTTGACAGCACAATAGGGTGACTATAGTCAATAATAACTTAATTGTATATGTAAAAATAACTTTAAGAATGTGATTGGATCGTTTATAACTCAAAAGATAAATGCTTGAGAGATTGAATACCACATTTTCCCTGACACGCTTATTTCATAATGCATGCCTGTATTAAAATATCTCATGTACTCCATAAATATATACACCTACTACGTACCCACAAAATTAAATATAAAAAATGAAAAAGTGGCAACAGGTTTTTCAACTGTATTAGTAATATCTCTTCTAGTGGGAAAATATTTCTTGTCCAGAGTTTCACGTTAGCTTTCTTGGCTTTCTTCCCTATTTTCCTAGAAGATTCAGAGGGTTTTTTGTTTGTTTGTTTGTTTGTTTTTGTTTTTGAGAGGGAGTCTTGCTCTGTCGCCCAGGCTGGAATGCAGTGGCGTGATGATGTGGGCTCACTGCAAGCTCCGCCTCCCAAGTTCACGCCATTCTCCTGCCTCAGCCTCCCGAGTGGCTGGGACTATAGGCGCCCGCCACCATGCCCGGCTAATTTTTTTTGTATTTTTTTAGTAGAGACGGGGTTTTATCTGGTTAGCCAGGATGGTCTCGATCTCCTGACCTCGTGATCCACCCACCTCAGCCTCCCAAAGTGCTGGGATTACAGGCATGAGCCACTGCGCCAGGCCCAGAGTTTTTATGTACAATTTTGCTAAATATATTTAAACTAATAGAAGTGTTATGGATATAGAGTATCTCATCTACTTTTTCAGAATTAATTCACCAACATATTTTGAGGTTTCACTGTGTATCATACTATGGGTTTGTAGAAATTTAAAAAAGGTGGTTCCAATTTATAAAAAAACACTGTGAAACAGACACAGAAACACTTAGAAGGTCAATAAGAATAGTGGTGAATTGGGTAGACTATTAAATCAGATTGCATGAGTTCAAATCTCAGATTTACCACTTAATAGCTAGGAAAAACTAGGCAATTTTCTTCACTTTCTGTAACTGAGTTTCTTCACTAGCAAAATAGAGAGAATACTATCTACTTAATAGAGTTATTGAGTGGTTATTACTTAGAACAATGCATCTCAAAATGTGTCTTGTGCACCTCTTGGGGTCCTTAATACACATTCAGGGAATCTTCAGTTTTAGTAGTGTTTTCATTATAATATGACACAGTATATATTTTTTCAATGCATTGATAGTTTCGATAATAGTTAAAAAGCACTAGTAAGTGAAATTGATGGTGTCTCAGTCCAAATAAAAGCAAGGACACAAAATATTCCTAGTAGTGATTACATTTTTTCTACCATGCACACAAATTAGAATGTCAGTTTTACTTAAGAATGCTCTTGATAAAATGAATGAATGTTCTTAAACTTATTAAAGTTACTAAGTCTCCACTATCAAGTGTATGTATTTTTAAATAGGAAGTAGACATAAAGTGCTTCTGCTGTATATGTAAGTATAATTTATTCAACAAAAAGCTCTTGTGCAATTGTGTGAGTTTCGAGCTAAATGAGCTGCACTTTTATCTAATGAATCATTATGTTTATTTGAAAAAGTGACTATTAAAAATGTATTCATTTGCAAAAAATTAGCCGGGCATGGTGGTGTGTGCCTATAATCCCAGCTACTCGGGAGGCTGAGGCAGGAGAATCGCTTGAACCTTGGAGGCAGAAGTTGCAGTGAGCCAAGATCGCGCCATTGCACTTCAACTTGGACAATAAGAGCGAAACTGTCTCAAAAAAAAAAAAAAAAAAGAAAAAGAAAAAAGAAAAAAAGTATTGTTTTGAATTGAATATTTGATAAGAATATTCTGGAAAATAAAGCTTGTCATTTCAAGGAAAAAATAATTTTACAGTATTTGTTGTCTGTGATAAAATTGGATTCAAGTGAAAATTAAAATTTTGAAAACATATATCTAACATCTTAAGCTTCATAGCTTTCTCATACTTAGTTTTCTGATGAGATTGTGATATCAACAGAGATTTTTCTAATATTATATAATATTATAAAATATGCAAGTCTTTCATAACTCAGTGAATAGTATTTTCAAAATAATTTATGATTAATGCTACAAATCATACATTAAATAAGTCATTCCAAATGAAGGTTAACCAATGGATTGTAGGCAGCTGGATTTTTAAGAAGTCACTGTGTTTTTTAGTCTACATTGTAACAAGCCTTTAAGAAGCTAGCAATTGCACAATGTTTCAGTAGAGCACCAAGGAAAAATACAGGTTTTTACCTTAAAGTGACAATTCAAATACTTCTATTTCTAATTACATATCTGTCTTATTGTTTTGCCATCTAAATTTTTATCCTGTAGCATAAAGCATTTAAAATGTCTTTTCTGTATGTTCTGGCCCCATCCCTAGAATGAGTTCTTTCTGAAGAGAAAGATTTTGTCTTATTTAATCTTTTTGTCTTATTTTATTATTGCTACATCTTCAGAAATAATAAAAATGTCAACACAAAATTGGTGCTTATAAAATATATTTTGAGTGGATGAATGAACAAACAAAGGCATAAGCAGAAATCTTAATTGTTACTGCCAAGTGGAAGTGAAATTGGATTCCCCACATGCTCTCCATGGACACTGAAGGTGGAAGAGAGCTTGTTATCAACCAGCTTGAATGAAACTCCCAATGTCCCACTTGGCTTTCTCTGACACACTGTGCGTGTGTGTGTGTGTGTGTGTGTGTGTGTGTGTCCAGTCTTTCCAGGCCTTGACAGTCTTCTGAGAGGAGAGGCAATTTCGTGGACTTTTGTTTTTCATTGCTGTTTCTGGGTTCCTGCTTTCCCTAGTATTGTGTCCGGAATTGGTGGGTTCTGGGTCTCACTGACTTCAAGAATGAAGCCGTGGACCCTAACGGTGAGTATTACAGCCCTTAAGGTGGCGCGTCTGGAGTTTGCTCCTCCTGATGTTTGGATGTGTTCGGAATTTCTTCCTTCTCGTGGGTTCGCGGTCTCCCCGGCTCAGGAATGAAACTGCAGACCTTAGCGGTGTTACGGCTCATAAAGGCAGTGTGGACCCAAAAAGTGAGCATTAGCGGGATTTATTGCAAAGAGCGAAAGAACAAAGGTTCCACAGTGTGGAAGGGGACCCCAGCGGGTTGCCACTGCTGCCTGGCGCAGCCTGCTTTTATTCTTATCTGGCCCCACCCACATCCTGCTGATTGGTAGAGCCCAGTGGTCTGTTTTGACAGGGCGCTGATTGGTCCCTTTACAATCCCTGAGCTAGACACAAAGGTTCTCCACGTCCCCACTAGATTAGCTAGATACAGAGTGTCCACACAAAGGTTCTCCAAGGCCCCACCAGAGTAGCTAGATACAGAGTGTGGATTGGTGCATTCACAAACCCTGAGCTAGACACAGGGTGCTGATTTGCTGATTGGTGTGTTTACAAACCTTGAGCTAGATACAGAGTGCCAAGTGGTGTATTTACAATCCCTGAGCTAGACATAAAGGTTCTCCACCTCCCCACCAGACTCAGGAGCCCAGCTGGCTTCACCCAGTGGATCCCACACCAGGGCTGCAGATGGAGCTGCCTACCAGTCCCACGCCGTGCGCCCGCACTCCTCAGCCCTTGGGTGGTCGACGGGACTGGGCGCCATGGAGCAGAGGGTGGTGTTCGTCGAGGAGGCTAGGGCCGCACAGGAGCCCACGGAGGGGGTGGAAGGCTCAGGCATGGCGGGCTGCAGGTCCCGAGCCCTGCCCGACGGGAAGGCAGCTAAGGCCCGGCGAGAAATCGAGCGCAGCGCCGGTGGGCTGGCACTGCTGGGGGACCCAGTACAGCCTCCGCAGCCGCTGGCCCGGGTGCTAAGCCCCTCATTGCCCGGGGTCGGCAGGGCCGGCCGGCTGCTCTGAGTGCGGGGCCCGCCAAGCCCACGCCCACCCGGAACTCCAGCTGGCTCGCAAGCGCCGCGCGCAGCTCCGGTTCCCGCTCGCGCCTCTCCCTCCACACCTCCCTGCAAGCTGAGGGAGCCGGCTCCGGCCTTGGCCAGCCCAGAAAGGGGCTCCCACAGTGCAGCGGTGGGCTGAAGGGCTCTTCAAGTGCCGCCAAAGTGGGAGCCCAGGCAGAGGAGGCGCCGAGAGCGAGCGAGCGCTGTGAGGACTGCCAGCACCCTGTCACCTCTGAGTATCATGGCCAGGATATATGAGGTAAAATGAAAACCCATGGAATTCACTATTTTGTTATTTTTCAGGTCCTGAGGTCCCTAGCTGGTCTACCTTCTTTCCACATTCCAGTGTCGTCTTATGTTTATGTATAATTTCCAGTGCTTTTAGCTTCACTTAACAATAAAAAAATATGGAAAAGTATGCCTAATGCATCTTTCCAAAGGTGAAAGTTTACTTTCTTATCTACTAAGTAGAATATTTGAAACATATAAAATATTGTAACAATTATGCAATTTGCAATTTTTAATATGATGAACACTTGTGAATTCCCTGCTCAATCCGAGAAGCAGAAAGTGATCTGTGAGTGTATGAAATAAACCTACGCTCATTCGCTGCCCCCAGGTTTAAACTAAATTTCCTACTTACCAGTATCTTTCATATTTTAATAGGTTTATCTTGTTTTACATATTTATTTTACCTATTCTAAAATGATGTCCTGTTTATCTACAAGCATGGATTTTTTATGGTAAGGTGATGGTGTTCTGCAAATTGCTTATAAAAGTACTTACATTTTGGTTTATTTAATTAAAAAACAATTTAAACTTTAAAAGCTCTTCTTGCAAAACATATATCCTAAGAAAATAATATTCTTGACAAAATATTCGAAGCTTTTTTTAAAATCTAACTTTGCCTCATTTGACATTTTTATATGTTCAACATTTCTATGTGACACATACATAAACTAGAAAATAATTAGGATGTGCTAGTTTGTGTCTACTTCTCATTTTTTTTTTGAGTAAGGCATATTTATCCAGACACAGTGATAGCTTGCTTGGTATTATTCACATGTGCATTCACAGACCCATAAATTGTATCCTGAAAGGGGTCATGACACTGAACTTATTCCAAATGTCACTTCTCATTTCAGCATCTCAAACTGTGTGATAAATGAAACAGTTTGGATTTCCCACCTGTCACACTTTTAAAAATCAAAGTTGAAGAGCACATTCTAGTTAATGAGTCCAAATTTTAAGCAAAGAAAATCAAAAGATTCACAGATGGTATTGTTGCTGCTGCTTCTCTATATATCTGTTAAGTTCTTTCTTCCTTTAAATAAAAATCTACACTTGCAGGCTATTCAGAACAGAAACATGCTTCTGAAGCTAAGACACAAAGTTGGATTTTTCAGCATTATTAAAACTGAAAATCCTAGAAACTTTAATTGGGTTTTGATTTAATTATAGCATAATATCCATAAATACTTCAATAACACACATCATAGAGCTACAATTTATCAGGCTTTAAAGGTTAGCTATGACTAATATTTTGAATTTTGATTATAAATTAAATACACTTAGTGGATCTTATTTTCTCATTTTAAACAGAAATATAAATTGGAGTAGGTCTCCATAACAACAGTACAGATATATTAATGAGTAAAAATGTCAGGTAATTTTTCCCTTTGAAAACTTGCTCAAAAAATTCCACAAATTATATTTTTGCAAGCAAAGTTACTACTTTTTTATTATTAAAGAAAGTGTTTATTTGTTCAGATAATGGCTTTTAACCCTTGCTGTACATCAGAATCATTTGGAGAGTTTTAAAAAATATTGATATCAGGATACCCTGGTTTCTCCCCCTACGAACGATCCTTTTAAGAAATATATAGGCATGTGTATGTGTATATATATATTTATCCAGGCACAGTGATAACTATATATATGAAATACTGTGTCTGTGAATTTCTAAGTATTTTGCAATTCTTAACTTAGGTCATCTTCATCATAAGCCTATGAGGTAGGCAATATTAGGATCTTGTTTTATAGTTGAGAAAAATGAGGCTCAGAGGGGTCAGTTATCAAAGAATGTGCAGCTAATTATGGGAAGAACTAGGATATAAACCCAGGCAATCTGGCTCTAGATCATTCTTTACAATTAAGCTATGTTGCCTCAATTTCTACAACTCCCCAAAGTTATTGGAGATGACATTAAAGTTAAAAACAAGAAATTCATTTTTAATATTTTAAATAATAAGATAAGTTCTCAATTTTAATTTCTTTGAGAGTCATATTTTGTTTCTCTCTCTTTATCTTTCTGCATCAGTTTTCTACTTCTGGCTAACAACAAATGACCAATTACCTTTCTGATCAATACTTGCTATTCTATATCTTTACCTTCATTAACATCTACTAAAAATACCTTTCTCGTATAATATTTCCTGTATCATTTCAGTCATTACTAAGTGTCCTTTCATAATTCTTGCATCTTTAAAATTACGTATATTGCTTGTTCCCCTTTATGTGAATTTGTGTGAATTATTGGATGCCAACTTGGCTGTTTAGTTAAGAGTGTTTCAAGGCCAATGTATTAGTCCGTTCTCATACTGCTGTGAAGAAATACCCGAGACTGGGTAATTTATAAAGAAAAGGAGGTTTAACAGACTCACAGTTCCACATGGCTGGTGAGACCTCACAATCATGGTGGAAGGTGAAGGAGAAGCAAAGGCACATCTTACATGATGGCAGGCAAGAGGAGTGCCAAGCAAAAGGGGGGAAAGCCCCTCATAAAACCATCAGATCTCATGAGAACACACTCACTATCATGAGAACAGCAGCATGGGGGTAACTGCCTCCATGATTCAATTTCCTCCCATTGGGTCCCTCCCAGGACATGTTGGGATTATAGAACCTATCATTCAAGATGAGATTTGGGTGGAGACACAACCAAACCACATCAGCCAGGCACTGAGTGGAGAGACGCAGGGGACAGGCATGCTCCACAATCACATCGAATGATAGCTGCATTGTGGTAACAGAAAGAAAACAGAAGTGGCATTCATTTCCCCTGCCTGAGGATTATCATGATTTTTCCCTTTCTCCAGTCAGAGGAAAGACATCTTCTCTATAATCTGGCTACAGAGTGGCTTCAGGACAAAAAGAGTATACAATCACAACATGTGCCTTGAGAACCATGTCTATGTAAAGGTGGTTCTTATTAGTCACTAATAAACAGGCTATGTTGGTTTACATCCACACTTTATCTTAACCAATGAATTGAAAGTACTCAATGTTTAGACAAAATCTCATAAGATTGTAACCAATTTGTTATTTTATGTCTGATTCCTTTATAAATTTAAAATGTGGTGAATATATATACAAAGGATAAATGAGATTCAGCTCAAAAGATATTTCTCAAAGTACATCTTCCAAATAATATTTATTTCAGTGAAGTGCATCTGGGAGACAATTATTTTTTGAAACAAATCCTGTTTGAATTAATAAATGGGTATATGAATAATTCAATGAACAATATATAGCTCAAAAATTGTTTTGTTCTTACCCATCAGCACTTGTCAGTGAAATCATATCTACAGAAGAATGGGAACTGTAGAATTATATCTACAAAAGAATACTACAAAGATTTAATATTATTTCTGCATTAAATAACCTCATGTTTTTTTTCTTATTGCTGCTACAAGTTATCACAAATTTAGTAGCTTACATAACACAAATGTATTATCAGAAATAATAAATTCAGAGATCAGAAGTGTAAAATGAGTCTTAGACCACTAAAATCAAGTTATTGGCAAGGCTGATTGCTTCTGGAGGCTACATGGGAGAATCAATTCCTTACCTCTTCCAGGTGCTAGAAGCATCAGGCATTCCTTGGCTCCTGACCACATCACACAAATCTTCTCTCTCCTCCCTCCCGCGTATAAGTCCCTTGTGATTACATTGGGCTCACCTAGATAATACAGCCTCCCTACCTCCTTAATTTATTTGGACCTGCTAGGCCTCTTTAGCATATAAGCTAACACAAACCCAGGTTTCAGAAATTAGGAAGTAGATACCTCTGAGGAGCCATTATTCAGTCTACTCCTATCACCCCCGAAAATAACCTGAAATAAATCTGTTTCCAATGTGCTGAATAGCTATGAAGAAGCACAAGAAATACTATTCCAGGTTAAATCAAGGAATAACATTCAGGAATCCAGGGTTCCCTAACCTAACTGGGCCTTCACATGTTTATGATAGGCTACACACCTGACCTAAATACCACTGTCGATTTCAGTTTGCCCCTAACAATATTGTACAAGCTGCTGGACGAAGAAAAGCACTGAAGTAATACTTAACTGGAAAACAATCAGACAAAGGCAGCTGTCATGAGAAGTGGATATTTAAAAATAAATTAGTAAGGAATGCAAGGGGAAAAGTCTCCTTTGACCATATTTTGATGTAAAGTGGAATTATGTTCCAATCTTTCAAGGACATAAAAATATTTTTTGCTAATGTATTACCTAGGAATTATTTGGGTCCGTATAACAGAAACCTGATAAAGTCTTAAGTGGGAGTCTTATTTTCCTTACTTAAAAACAATCTGGAAGTGGAAAGGTTACTGCTAGCTTGAAAGCTCATTCTTTCTCTCTCTCTCTCTCTGCTCTGCTACACAATTTGATTGTTACTAGATGGCTGTACTATCCTCAGGCATCAGATCCTTATTTCAGATATCAGGCAGGAAGAAAGGAACAAGAACATATATATTATTTGTTTGCCACACTTGTCACTTATTATCAGGAAAGTAAATTTTTTTCCTGAGGCCGTACTCACAACATGTGTGCTTACATTGCATTTGCAAGACTTGGCCACATGGCTACACCAAGATATCATAGAGCCTAGGAATGATCTGAGCATACTATTTTCCAAAAATCAAAAGATTAGATTTTGACCCTGCGACTATCAATATCTGTTAGAGTTTGTTTTCTTATATTGCAGTTTCACATATTATTCATAATTAAGGGTATGATTCTCACAAAGAAAGTTTAGTGGGCAGCATTTTAAAATCACCTGCAGCACACCAGCATGGCACATGTATACATATGTAACAAACCTGCACGTTGTGCACATGTATCCTAGAACTTAAAGTATAATAAAAAAATAAATAAAATAAAATCACCTGCAAAACTTAATCAAAATACACATGGCCCCCAGCTTCTCCATTATGACAATGATATTATAAGGTATGTTATAGCCATAAGGCATATACATAGATATTTTGAAGAGGAATCCCTTACTTCCTCTTTCCCATGCCTCAGGATTTGAGAACCATTAGACTAATCATGTAATTAATAATAAACTATCATGTTCAGTACAATAAAAGTATGTGTCTGTAATCTGTATATAATGACTATGCATGAGAAAACTAAGGGCAGATGTTTCTTACTCTATTTTTATATTTTTTATTTCACTGAAAGCTAAACATAAGAAGCATCTAAACAATAAGACCCAGAAAATGTAGAGAACATATTCAAAACATGTATCCTACATTGTTCAATATGAGATAACACTTTAAGAAAAATTCTGCCAAACCTTAGTAATTTGCGGGAAATATTAAAATAATTTACATATCATTACTGAGAAAGGAGCTAGTCTAGAGAAACTTATTAATCATTACTTTTATTTTTTTCATATTTAATGATGGGAAAAATACAGTCCATTTTATTGTATGCTATATTGTAAAACATAATTTAAAATTCTTATTCAAAGGAAAAACATTTCTCGCAAAATTTAAGATAGTGTTGTCTATCTGTTCTTCATAGCTACAATATTTTTCCTGGAATAAAAATAATTAATTGACATAGCAGGAACTACCTTAATTTCTTCCTAAAATTGACTTAGTAAGTGTTATGTTGTTTAATATAGAAATAAATGAGTTAATGAGTAAGTTTATTATACTTGTCCTGTAAAATATTGTGGTGGATGAAAAAGCAAGTGTTTCTTTTTAATAAATGAAGCAATTGAAAGTTTTGTTATTTTTTCATGATAACCTCCAGAGCAGATGAGTAGATGGAACTCTTGCAAGTCAGCGCTATACCTATTCAATCGTAGTCTATGGGCTGACTGAGAAAGGGAAGAGTAAGCAGAAAGAAATAGAAAACTTCAAGGTTCAGTTGAACAAAAATAAAAATAAATTGGAATAATTAACATTCACATGCCGAGAAGATTGTTTGTGTGTTTCTGTAACTTTTTGCAAGGTGATTTTATATTTGAGCAACCTTGCTTTTCATGAATGAAAGATAATCTTTAAGACTACTCATTTTTATGCCAAAAGAAATTTAATGTCTTATTTTCTAGAATTCCTATTTATGAAGAGATAATGAATTGGAATGGAAACATTACTTCATATTGGAAGGAACATCACAGACTTTTACAAATTTAGAGTTAAGGAGTTCATTTTGTTTTATTTGTATACTCTGGTTTCACATTCGTTCTGAGGGAATTGTCTTCACAACACCCTCAAAAGAGAGAAGTTTCAGTTTGTTTTTACACACATGTACGTAGGTCCTAGAACATGGCATCGTCACCAAGCCACAGTCAGTTTTGACCAGAGCTAGTCAATGAACACACACACACAAACACACACACACACATGCAAACAGCCTAAGAAGTGGTCTAGACAAAGTTGCCTAAACATGGTGATGAATAACTTTAATCGCATAATGTTACTTGTTTAGTCAAACTAATGGTGGAGTACTAGGTTTACCAGCAGTTTTAAACTTCTGTGGAAACAGCTATTATTCTTCAGAAGCCAATGAGTTGAGTTATGATTATGACATGCTGAAACTATCACTTCGTTATAAAGCCATTATAGAGTCTGTGAGGCTTTACCCTTAAGTAAAGCTTCTTGCTCTTGGTTATTTCCATATATCTCCAGGTTGTTAACCTGAATTTCTAGAAATAAATTGAATGAAGGGTATGCAGTATTACACAAATATATGTAATTGTAGAAAGCCCTCATTATGTAATGACTTTCCAGAGTTTGAAGGTAGTTTAGGTATAGACATCCAAAGTAAAAACCCTGTGCATAGAATTTAAAGTAGTGGGAAATTTGTCACCATACTTTTGAGAATGCCTGTGTACTAGTAAATATTTCTAGTCCGCAGACATAAATCAGCTTGATAACAGTGTCCAACAAATATCTATAAGTACATTAATAAAGGACATCATGTGCAAGCTGAGAATTATTTTCATACAGTCTATGTAATTATACTTTTTGAAAGAAGAAAAAATGAAAATGATTGTTTCTGCAATATAATATAGTGATGCTGAGCCTCCTAGCAGTACTCACACAGTTGGGAACTTCTGGCTTTGGTGTTTATTAACAATGACACTGGTTTACACGACACTTTTTTGTACAAGCAGGAGGCTGTTTGGGATTTTAAAATGTGAATTTTAGTTCCATTGTATTTTCACTGAATTATTAGCTAGGGAATTATTTAATATTACTAGAGTTATTCACTTAGAAACTGATTATAGATTTTTTTTGGTGTGTTAATGAAGTATGAGTTTTCTTGCATCTGCAGGGCAACTTAAATGCCGTTCCGAGAATTCTTTTTTAAGGTAAATTGCATATTTTACTGTTACTTTGGTAGAAAACATTCTAATATAAAGATAATATTATTTACACTTAAAATAGGGGAGTATTACAATTACTTAAATTATTCTCATACTTTAGAAATATTATTAAATATTTTGTGACTAATTTAATTTAAGTTGCAATAAAATGGGTTGAAAATATGTATTTTTCAGAAGTAGGTGTGGGGAGGGGTGATTATGCTTAAAATAGTATAACATTTGGGTACTATATACAATAAAACTTGGTCATAGTCTCTAGTTTGCATCTCAATATAGTTCAAAAGAAGGACTCAGAGCAGATTTTTAAATAATCTAGTTAAATGCCATTCTATTAATCTTTGCCTTGCTATGCTCTGTTTTCATGCTACAAATATATAATATTGTTCTCCTATTTCTGATTCCCTTTGCTCTTTATATAATCATTTGATTGTATTGATGACTAGAATTATGATCATGATTGTTATAATTATACCTGGCACATTTACTGTGTACCAGACAATATTCTAAACACTTTACATACATGATTTAATTTTATATTCAAATCAACCCAATGCAATCGGCAGGTTAATTGGATTGGCTCTGGAGTCAGATGCACCATACTCTATCTTCTACTCTACCAAAAATGAGCAATGTGAGCTTATTTTGTATTTCTCTATGTTAGTTATCTCATCGATAAAATAAAGATGATAATAATATGGACTTTTAAGACTATTATGAGAATTAAATAAGTTCTTGGCACAGGATAAGCCGTTAATAAATTATAGTTGCTGTGATTAATGTAACTGTCTCCATTTTACAGTTGAGAAAACTGAGGTTTAAAGAAATTAATCAATTTGCCAATATAATAGAGCGGTTAATTGGTTTATGCAGGGTTTAGATCCAGATTTTACTTCTGATATCAAACCACAATTTTAAATAATATGGTCCTATATCTGAAATCCAGTTTTTTCAAAAATTTTCAATATTTTAACTTTTTAACCATGTAGAAATCTAAACTATGTTTTAAAAGTTGATTATTTTTTATGGATATAATTGAAGACGGGGAATGATGTCTCATGCTAGGTAAATATTTACCAATATTGCACATAAATAGAGTAAGAATGGAGGTTCCTTCTATTTTGAGAGTTATCCCTTTGCTAGCATATGTGCATAGTAAAATACTTGTTGGGAAGAGGACATGGTCCTCTGAACAGATGCATGTGCTTCTATGTATAAATTGAAGAACGAAAGTGAATTAGCAATTGTGAATTTGGGGATGGAGGAAGCATGACAACCGATATTTATGGGGAAATAAGTAATAATTACTGTCAGAGTACTGTGACTCTATAAATTCATTGTTATATTAATTAGCAAATGATCCTACAAGTCATTATTATCTCTATTATAGAGATAAAAGTGATACTAATACATATTGGGTAACTTGCTGGCAACATCATAGTAATGACATAAAATATTAACAGCAAAAAAAGAAAGAAAAGAGAAATAACATTTTTAGTTGAAGTTAGGAATATGTGCATCTGTTGCAAGCAAGCTTGAAGGTCATCTAGAATGGCATTCTAATATCTGGTGACAGTTTTAAATAAACATCTCACAGATGCAGTGTTCAACAGTATTGGCTGATAATACTACTGGCACCGAACCAGCATTGAACTCCATTTTTCCAGTATCTCTTGCTGACCCAAGTCTTTGATTGGGTATGCACTTCACTGATCTTCATGAATAATCCTTACACAATTGCCACATTTTGATTAGTTTTTAAGCAAAATTGTTACATTCGGCCAACTTTATCTATTTGCTAAAAACGAAACAAGAACTACTGAGTTAGAATCAGTTAAAAATGATCTTGGTGGGACCAGGTGCAGTGGCTCACACCTGTAACCCCAGCACTTTGGGAGGTGGAGGCTAGTGAATCATTTGAGATCAGGAGTTCGAGACCAGCCTGACCAACATGTTAAAACCCCTTCTATACTCGGGAGGCTGGGGTACGGAGAATCACTTAAACCCTGGAGATGGAGGTTGCCGTCAGCTGAGATTGTGCCATGGGATTCCATCCTGGCAACAGAGCAAGACTCGAAAAAAAAAATGATCTTGATCAAAATTACTAGATAACATAAGCCAGGTAGGCACATTTGTGCTGAGTAAACCCTACATATGAAGCACAGTAACATTATTACAATAAATTTAGAGCTGCGGGACATTGTCTCCAACTCCTTGTTGGAGAAGTCATTCAGCAGAAAAGTAGGGGTCCCTACTTGTAGTAGAAACCCCTGAAAGCCAGTTCAATTTGCTGTGATTGAAAGATGAAATAAAGCAAGCACAGAACTGAAGATAAAATTGTTTCTGCTGTTAAAAACATTCCTTCAATTTTTGGAGATAATACCCATCTCATCCTGAGGACAATGACTATTGCTAAAATGAATTGGAATGTGAGATGAAGAGAGAGTTTCAGATTAAACAGAAGGAGACTCAAGGTGTGAAAATCACCCAGTATTATTGTCTCTAAAATAGAGTAACGATATACTTGTCATTGGATTTTCTGGAAGATTAACTGAGATTATGCATAAGATAGTCCCTAAGTACATAACACAAACTAAAATTTTATTTTGTTCTCTCTCAGCATTCCTCTGCACAAAGTAAAAGCCCTCATTTACGCATTAACTCTATCAAGTCTCCCTCAAGAAATACATAAATAATAATAATAAGCAGAAACATAATTTTTAAAGATTATTGTCTCTTGTGGTCTGTAGGTTAACAATATATCTTTGCATAGCCAGGATTCTTTACAGTAACTATGTGCATGCTTTGGGATCAAGAGACTCCAAATTAAAATGTAAATCTCCTTTTCAGTAAAATTTGCAATTTCTGCAACAATAAGCAAGCTAATGGCATGCCGACTTTATTCAATATGGTTCAATTTATTGTGTTGCCCACAGTTAGTGTTTACCTTGAGGCCACTGAAATCCATTCCTACAAATGGAATGCCAGAGCTGAAACGTAACAATGTGGAAAGGCAGAAAATGGGGAGACTTATTTTAATCTCTTTCTCTTGATTTGAAGTCAGCTTTTAGTGACTGGATAAAGACTTCAGAGATAGCCCACTGTCTAAGAAACTTAGAACCCTCACTGAGACCATAGATTGAAATAGAGATGATTTGTATCATCGATTAGATAATAAAAATAGAAAGTCATCAATCGTGATACTATAAAATTGTACATATAGCAGAATGTTTGGGAGATGGTGGGTAACATTTAATAATTTAAACAGTTTTCAGTATATGTTTTTGTTTTGAATGTGGCTTGAATTATTTTATTCTGTGCAGGTTATGTTCTCTTGTTTAATTGAAAGTCTCATACATTTCAAAACTATTTTTAAATAAAGTACATTTTTTTTTTATTTCTAGTATTCACATGTTTCAGCAAAACCATGGGAATTGATTGTGTTTCATTACACTATCAAAGGTTTTATATATTTTATTTATTATAAAACAATATTTTCTATGTAATTTACACATATTAAATAGTTACATTAATTAAATGTTTATTCTGCTGAATATGAGAAATACAAAGATGATTGAGTCATTATGCTCTCTACCTTGTAGGAATTAATCTAGCATGTCATTGGTTAATAGAAATATAAAGTCCCCATTCTCCACAGAAAAAGAAAGAAATATAATGTAACTACATAGGTAATTTAAAATCTTCTAGTAGTAACATTAAGAAAGAAAAATAAAATTGTTCAATTAACTTTCACTATATGTTATATGTAAAATATTATATCAACATGTAATCAATGTAAACACTGATGAACTATTTTACATTATTGTTTAGATACATAGCTTTAGAAATTTTGCATGAGTTTTTTATAATTACAGTGCATCACTGACTACTCATATTTCAAGTTTTCAAAGGTCACATATGGGTAGTGGATATTATATTGGACAGTGAAGATCTAATGTGTCAATAAAGATATATGTAAATGATACAAAATATACTTATTTTGTAAGTTAGTTTTCAAAGTGCTCCTGACATATTGTGGGGAAGATTTAAAACATGTTGATAGTAGAGAGATCCCTTCAGTGGAATAAACATGTATGTATTATAAATGGCCAAAACTGTTTTCTTATATAGTCATGAAAGAGAGATGGTTAGTTGAAATGGGATCAGCTTGTAGTTATACAGACTTGCTTACACAGAAGCAGATGCAGAAATGCTGAGTCAGAAAATTGGGATAAACTTAAGAGTTAAGATAATCTTTGCCTTTCAGAAACGTTGCCTTGAAAGAGTAAAACAGGAACATTCATAGTTGATCACAAAAACAGAAAAATATTTGTTTGATAAAATTTTATTTGAAGCAGACAGCAGTGGCCTCATGTAAGTATTTGCAAAGTTTTTAATCTACTAATAAAACCAACACTTCACAGTTATGGCCCTACTTTCTGTAAAAGCACAAAAACCATGGAATAGAAATTTCTAAAATGTATTTAATAGAGTAACCTTTAATCTAAATGGAAAGTCATGCTACACAGGGTGATATGTTAATGTATTTCCTACAACCGTACGTATTAAATTATTAACTTCCAGCACATTCTCCTTTAAATTACAATTTTGAAGTTCGTTGTAATTCTTCTTTAATAGATCTATGCCTTTTGATTTTCACATGGATACTAATATCACTGTTACTCACTTTACTTTGCTCATCAAATTTCTCTTTTAAAATAGTGAATAATTTATTATTAAAGTTGATTTTCATTTTTTAAAATCCATTTCTTCTAAAGGGGTTATTTTTCCAAAAACTAATAGGTGTTAGGATTAAAATATAAGGACTATCGAGAGTTTTTCAGAAATAGGATGAACCGTGAGACAGAAACATTAGAGGCCAGGAAATTTATGAGTTCTGGCCAGCAGTCAGTTAACATCAAGTAGGTCTGTCAGCAGTTATGTCATCTATTGGACTTGAATTTAGGACAAATTTATTTCATTGTAGTAAAGGAAATCTGAAAGTGTAAGGGCAAGACCTGACCTGTAGAGTCTGATATAATTTATAATTAATAAAGCAAGAACTGAGGCCTAGGAAGGTGGCACAGGTAAAGAAAGTTACTCCCAACCAGCCTGCAACAATTATTGTACAAGATACAAACATGCATATCTTGTTTAATTCACAAACATAAGTACACACACACACATATACAAGCATGTGTAGTATATTACTGTGCCCATTTTACCATTAGATAAAGTAAGTTCCTATAAGGAAAATTTAAATATTGTGTGGTAGACCTACAAGTACAGAAACTGTTCCACTGAAAAAATGTATTGTATATGATATTTTAGGCACTGTATTATATACTAATTATTCTTGGGATAGTAATGCATATTCACTACCTTTAAGGAACACAAGGCCTAATGGGGAAAACAGACTAGAAAGTATAATAACATATGAAGCTTAAAAGACGGTAAGTTTTCTGAGAACTTCAGGTTAGCAGATAACCAAATCTTGATTGTTGGAATAGTCAGAAAGTATTCTAGTAGGAAGTGACTTGAACCTAGATTCTCTTGTGACTACTTACTGATACTTCTAAAAATACATGGTGTATCATTAATATCATTATTCATAACAATACAGAAAGCCAGTCACCATTTCTGCAAAGAGGAACCTGAAAGAATAATATCTGACTCAGTTACAAAATTCAAATACTGTATTGCCGTTATTTCAGGACCTTCTGTTTCAGAGAAGCTTTGATCTTAAGGACAAGACTGGGAAAATCTAACACAAGATTCAAGTATTTTCAGCCATGAAGTGAGGAAATAACATGCCTGGAATTTAATTAGAGTTTGACACAGATTCTTGCAATAATATGTCATCTTTTTTTCTCAAAAAGATATTTTCGTGTTTGCATTTTAAATGAGGATAACTGAAGATAATACAAAGAAGTAAATTTCTACTGCTAAGATTGAATATTAATCAATCAGTGAAGATAATAATTTTGACAATGAAAACTATTGTCACAAAATGTACTTTTTAGGTATATATGCCTTCATAGAATGGAGAGAGACCTAAAAATTACGATTTGTGGGTCAGGTGCGGTGGCTCATGCCTGTAATGCCAGCACTTTGAGAGGCCGAGGCGGGCGGATCACAACTTCAGGAGATCGAAACCGTCCTGGCTAACACGGTGAAACCCCGTCTCTACTAAAAATACAAAAATAAAATAAAATAAAATCAGCCGGGCGTGGTGGTGGGCGCCTGTAGTCCCAGCTCCTCGGGAGGCTGAAGCAGGAGAATGGCGTGAACCCGGGAGGCAGAGCTTGCAGTGAGCTGAGATGGCGCCACTGCACTCCAGCCTGGGTGACAGAGCGAGACTCCGTCTCAAAAAAAAAAAAAAAAGAAAGTACGTTTTGTGTATATGTGTACATATGTACACATACATACATGTGTACATGTGTACATATGTACACATATATACATACACATATAGACATAATCATATATACATATATACACACTTTTTAAGTATATATACATATATATACACACCCAATGTACACTTTTTGTTGACACAGTATAGGAAATAATATTAGTACTCACACCAATATTTGCATTCTGTTTTTTCTGAAAACAAGAACTGCATTTCCTACTCCCTTTATCTTCAGCATAGATGTGTGACTTTATTTGACCAAAGAAATGTGAAAATAAATGTGTCATAAAACATGTAAAAGCTTGAGCGTGATTCTCTATTATCTATTCTACTACTACTTCCAAATGAGGAATCTCATGATTCATGATTTGTTTGTGAAAACAAAATATAGTAAATCTTCTTGAACCTGAATCCTTAAGTGAGGAAATGGAAATCAACCCTAATCCACCCATTTTGCAAATTTAGTAAGAACAAGATATGAATCTGTAGTTTTAAGCCTCCCAAGTTTTGGATTTGATAGATTGTGTAGCACAAACTTACTTAATATGGCTGATTCACAGGGTTTTCTTCTCTCTTTTTGGTTCCTTCCTTCCTGTTTTCTCATTTTCGTTATCAAATCAAGATACCCATTACAAAAACTGAATAATAATGAGTTTCCAAAAATTGTGACTGAATGGCATGATCACAAACCCTCCCTTGAATAGATAATAATTATTGTTGTAGGTTTAAAATACAATTTGGAGGACAGTATCATTCTTTTCATATAAAATATATCTATTTAGTTCCACAATTATTGTCTTGCCTGCTCTCCTCAGGTAGGCTACAATTTGTGATCGTATCATGTGTGTTTTTGCTAAACACATTTTAAGAAAGTTTTGACCTATTGGGGTTTATGATAAGTTGAGTTGTGTTTCTTCTCTACAAAAGATACATCAGAACCCTAACCCCTCATTATGTTAAGATGAGGTCATTAGGCTGGATTCTAATCCAATGTGACTGGTGTCCTTATAAATAGAGGAAATTTTGGACTAGACACATACAGAGGAAATACAATGTGAAAGCACAAGGAAAAATCCATATACAAGCCAAGAAACTCTTGAGACTACTAGAAACTAGAAGAGCGGCACAGAATAAATTCTTCCTCCTAGTCATGAAAACAAAAAACAAAAATGAAAACCCTGATGACACTTGATGTAAGACTTCTAGCCTCCAAAATTTTGTGACAGTAATTTTCTGTCATTCAAGCCATCTAGTTTGTCATATTTTGATAAGGCAGCTCTAGGAAACTAATACAAGTTCAGAGTGAAAATTCTCATTCATCTGCTCTCCATAATTTTCAATCTATCTCTTAAGTTTGCAGTAGATTTTATCTTATGTTGGTATTTATTAAAAATTCTTTTCCTGACTTCAAAGTATATAATAAAAGAAGTTATAAAATATTGTCTTGGAATTCACTTTAAATCTTAGCAATCAATGTTATGTATAAATCATAATATAACATAAGCAAAATCATTTTATCTAAAAAGACTTACTGTTTAAGAAATAATGCTATATCATGGAACTATAAAAACAAAACTTTAAACATAAACACTGAATATTGGTTATGAGTCAGCACAGATTTTTCATGAGTTACATCACTGGATTACTTTACATAGGAAACATTTTTAAAAGCTTGAATAATACAAATAACTGATTTTCAATGATGCTGTATATCTTTTCTATGCCTGATTAGCTGCTTGCATTATTTATGGCACTGAGTTTGCGATGGAAACATAGGTTAAGAGTCATGAATCTTTATGCCTCACTTGACAAGCCAACTAATACATTACTAAGCCTCCCCATTCTTGTTAAACTTACCTGTAAACCAGTAGTGTCAGTCCTGAATTATTTTTGATATTGAATCTATTGATGAACTGCAAAGGTTAAAATTAAAGTGTGACTTATGCTGTGATCAGGAGCACCGTGTTAGAGCACTAAGTGATCTGTGCAAATTATAACCGTAAATATTCTTCAGATTCTGCATTATAGCTCTGCTATGAAGCTCTGTGTTCTCGTTCTTTCTCCCTCAAGGAGATTCCTTAGGATAAGAGTGCTGATAAAAACAATCTTTCAGATCCTTATGACTGTGAATAAAGCACCTGTTTTTTTTTTCTTTTTTCTTTTTGCTTCTTGATTTTGAAACATGATCCTTAGAAAAAAGTATTTCCCACTATGTAGTTTCAATCAACTAGAATTTAAAGTCTTTCAAGAGATAAATTTGAAGAACAGGATCTGTGCTTTATTACTTGTAGGCAAGTATAATGAATAAGAAAATACTCACAGGATTTCATGGTGGTTCAGAAGCATGTGATATGTCTTCTAGTTAAGGGGATTCATGAGTCACTGAAAGCCTCACTTTCCCACATCTCTAGGTTCTATTTTAAGGCTAAAATATCAATTCTCTCCAGTTTATCTCATTTAAGCAGACAGGTTTCAATGATAGCAGGTTATCAAGAGACATGTTGGCATAGATGAACTCAGATACGAAAAATAAGGATAAACCCACTGGGTTGGGATGACAGCAGAGGTTGTATATTAAGTTGGAATTTATATTGGATTATCTTAAATGTAAATGAGTAAATACCATCAAGCCTGAGGATGCTAGCAGCAGGAGTCTCTAAAATCCCACTACTTCCTCCCTAATATTAGGTATGATTTAAGAACCCATGGGATTGTATTAATCACTTCATCATCGTATCTCACCAATGGATGAAAAAATTAGATTTTTGCTTCAATTTTCTCTCTCTGCTTTATGATCTTGTAGTAAAAATGAAACAAATAATGAACATCAATTCTCATTGATGAAGTGCATAATTTATGCCTATTCATATATATTATTTGATCAAATATTTAGGTTTAAAAACAGTCATCTCTGGATTTATTCATTTTTTGCACATGTAAAAATACACATGTAAATGCCTTTTAATAGTTGTGAAGATTATCTGAAAATGAATTGTTTAATTAACTTGGGAGACTTGGGATTTAAAGATACAGAACATTAAAAATTCTTTCACAGCAAGAAGAGTCATCAAGTAGTTTTAAAAAATATTTCAACTACATAAATGTACTAGTATATATATATTCTGACAGGTATTAAGCTTTGTGCAATGTAAATAAACTATACAGGGAAATAAGTAATAAGCTATTTTACTGAAAAAATTATATAGCATTTCAATTACCAATGTTGTAATTTGTTGTCAAAGGAGAACTAAGAGGGAGACTATATCCTCAGAGTGTGACACTTTTATGGGCATATAGAAATTTTTTTCCCTGTACCTTGAATGGGGCAATGTATCTGATTTTTTTGTAGTAAACAAATTTTCATCATGCAATAAATACAAAGGCTCAATTACTGACTATATAAAATTATAGTATTATTTATTCAAAATTTACATTTTAGGAGTAATAATATTGTTTATTGTAGGTACTCAGGATAAAGTAATACACAAAACAAGTAAAATCTCTGCCCTAATTGTGTTTATAGTCTATACCCCTCCCTTTTATTTTCCTTTGAAATTATGTAGAAGGAAAGAACAATCTAGACATTGCCAATTCTCATTGAGGCTGAATATGGTCCTTAGAAAGTTAATATTTAAATAAAACTATTAGGTAAAGTAAACCAAACGTATTCTATCAAATATCTGTGTTTATGAGCTTCAGAAAGAAGTAGACAAATAACTCAAGCATTGAACAAGTGATAGCACGACAGTAAAAATTTAACAGATTTCTGAGTGCTAATTTATGTTGGTGTATCAGTCAGAGTTCACTCAAGAAAACAAAGATACTATGAGTAAGAGGAAGGTAAGAGGGTTATTATTAAAATTATACCTTACACAGTTGTGGGAAGAGTTGTTTAAGAAAGTTTACCAGGATCAGAGTTACCAACAATTTGACTGAAGCACTGGTACAAGTAGACAGATAAGACTCTCAGGGAAATATGAGGCACCCATTATTACCTCTTGTCCCTGCAGTGAATTCACAAACCAGAGCTTGTTGAAAGGCCTATGGGAAGCTGTTATGTCTATGTATCTACTGCTTCTCATCTAAGGATCCCAGAATATTTTTGGACAACAGACTCAACAGTCAGAGAAAGAATCATTGGAAAGTCATGAAACAGAGTGATATTCCAGCTACCTTGTGATTCTGTCACCACATCTGACTGTGATAACATTCCAAGAATAATGGCTATTACTTCATTCTTCTGTAAGTTTTCCTTTGGCCAAATATAACTCAGAACCATACAGAAAAACAGATACTGGGAAACACAATTCTGGGATATATCTATGTTGATACAGAAAAATGTGGCATAGTAGAAGAATAGAGTAGTATTGATTTTCCCATAATAGCATTTAAAGGAAAATAACAAACTAAATAGAATATACTACATGAAAATACCTCCAGTCGTTCCCTCTATTTTATTTGAAAAATTCAATTGTATTTTTATTTGAAAATGGATTATTAGACTGAACATCTAAAGTACATTGAATATTCACATTAAAAAAGTCAAAGGCTAGTTTTATACTTAATCTTGTCATCAAGGTTTCATTGCAGAATAGATATTATATCTGAATAAATTTTATGTTATGAACACTTTGGAATTATCAATTTACCTGAGATTTTACCCCTGACTGCTCATCCAGAAAACCAAGCAGAGCTTTCCTCAGTTTCATGCCAGAAATCCAAACCACACTTGTTTAAATATAAAGGGAGAATTTATTGAATTATAACATGAAAAATTCAAAGGGAAGCCTTCACATACAGACAGATCCAGGTAATTAACTATATCAAGATGTTGTTTTTCTTTATCAATGTTCCAAATTTCTCTGTGTTGGCTTCATTATTAGTCAGATTTTATTCATATAGTAGAAAAAGAAATTGACCAAGAGCTGTTCCAAGATTTCATTCTAACGTGAACCAGAAAAGAATGTTTCTTTCTCCATTGCTAAGGCAAACTTCAAAGAGATGGTGCTCATTTGCTTAGCTTAGTAATATTCCATTCACCAAAATGATAATTGTAACTAAGAATTTGTGATGGTTAATTTCATGTGTCAACTTAGCTGATTTAAAACGTATCCATTGTGGTTTCAATTTGCATTTCTCTAATGATTAGTGAGGTTGAACATTTTTTACATGCTTGTTGGCCACACATGTCTTCTTTTGAAAAGTGTCTGTCCATAAACTTTGTCCACTTTTTAATGGAGTTGCTTGTTTTTTGCTTATAAATTTAAGTTCCCTGTAGATTCTGGATATTAGGCCTTTGTCAGATGCACAGTTTAAAAATATCTTCTCTCATTCTGTGGGTTGTCTGTTTGCTCTTTTGATGGTTTCTTTTGCTCTGCAAGCTCTTTAGTGTAATTAAATCTCGTTTGCCAATTTTTGTTTTTGTTGCAATTGCAAAACCACAATGATACATAACTTTACACTGATCAGAATAACTATTATTAAAAAGTCAAAAACTAACAGATGCTGGTGAGGTTGCAGAGAAAATGGAATTCTTAGGCCCTGCTGGTGGGAGTGTAAATTCGTTCAGCCATGTGGAAAACCAGGTGAATCCTCCTCAAAGAGGCTAAATCAGAATTACCATTAGAGCCAAAAATCCCATTATTGGGTATATATCCAAAGAAATAGAAATCATTTTACGATAGAGACATATGCAAGCGTATGTTCAGTGCAGCACTATTCACAACAGCAAAGGCATGGAACCAACCTAAATGCCAATCAACAGTAGATTGGATAAAGAGAATGTAGTATGTATACAGCATGGAATACTATGCAGCCATAGAAATAACAAGATCATGTCCTTTACAGGAACACGGATGGAGCTAGGTGGCCATTATCCTAAGCAAACTCATGCAGATGCAGAAAACTGAATACCACATGTTCTCACTTATAAGTAGGAGCTAAAAACGAGAGCACATGGACACTAACAACAAGAGAACAACAAGGGAAAAATAATACTTGAAGGAGGAGATTGGGAGAGGGAGAGCATGAGAAAAAAATGACTGTTGGGTACTATGCTTATTACCTTGATAATAAAATAATCTATACGTTAAACCCCCATAAACTGCAGTTTACCTACATAGCAAACCTGCACATGTACCCCTAAGCCTAAAATAAACTTATATGATAGCTAGAAAAACATCTTTTCTGAGTTTTTCTACGAGGGTAAAAGAGATTAGCAGTAGCCTGAATAAAGAAGATCCACTTCCACCAATGGGAGCAGGAATCATCCAACCCCTCAAGAGCCTGGATAGAACAAAACAATGGAAAAAGGTCAAATCCACTGTATCTTATTGAGCTGGGATGTCTATTTCATTCAGCCAGTGGTCAGCATCCTCAGTCTTCAGGCTTTCAGACTCAGAATGAATTATACCACAGACTTTCCTGGTCATGCAGCTTGCACACAGTACATTGTGGGGCTTCTTGGCTCCCATACGTATGTCACCTAAATCTCAAATTAAGTCCTGTCTGTCTATCTGTCTATCTATCTATCTATCTATTTATCTATCTATGTATCCATTCATCTATCTATCCATCCACCCTACTGGTTCTGTTTCTCTGGAGAACTCTAACACAGGATGAAACGTTAATTAGCCCAACTTAAATTATCTGCCCATATCTGCACAGGTGAGTAAGACTCGGGAAATCAGCATTTGTAATGGATTTCTGAAATGAAAAAAAGATAATGAGGGAATTCATTGTAGGATGGTATTATGGGTTGAATTTTGTCCTTGTAAAATTCATATTTGACATCTTAACCCCTTGTATTGCAGAATATGATCTATTTGGGAATAAAGTCATTGGAGATATAATTAATATTAAGATGAGATCATTAGGGTGGGCACTAATCCAGTGTGACTGGTGTCCTTATGAACAGGAAACATTTGAACACAGAAACATGCATACAGGGAGAATGCCACAGGAATATAAAGTCAAAGATTGGGATGATGCCTCTACAATGCCAGCTAAGGAATGTGGAAAGTTGCCATCAAATCACCAGAAACGAAACAAAGGTTATGGAACACATGCACTTTTATAACCCTAAGAAAACACCAACACTGCTAAAATCTTTATCTTGGATTTCTATTTTCCAGGGCCGTGAGATGATAAATTTCTGTCACTTAGACCACCAAGTTTCTGGTAATTTATTATGGTGGCCCTAGAAAATAATACAGAAGGCAAAATCAAGATTTGTCTGTTACAGCTGCTGTTCTAGATAAGTTGTCCTGGACATATGCAGTTTCTGCTATAATATACCAGAAGTCTAATTAAACATCTTTCTAGGCTTTGCTATGTTTATTTTTTAACATTAAGATGTGAGATGTTGCAGGTTTCACTCTTATTATTTTCACTTATTGACCCCTATTGACAGCAGGCTTTGTGTTTAATTGATGGTGATGTTCCTAGAGTCTAACAGAGTTTTTTTGCATGACAAAATAGGTGTTTTAAGAACCACTATTGCAGAATTTACAGTAAAAATTGACTAAAAGTAACATTGGTGGAACATGATAGGCACTAGATGAGTTAATATCATAGAAAGAAGCAAAGGACACAGAACTTTACTTTGAGGATTGAATTAGTTTTCTATTGCTGTTGTAAAAGTACTACAAATTCCATGCCTTTAAAATCACATCAATTAGTTTAAAATTCGATGAGTTCATTTAGAAGTCCAATGTAGGTCTCAGTTGGCTAAGTTCTAATTGTCAATACAGCTGCCTTTCTTTCTGGAGGAATGAGATTCACTTCCATGCTTTTCCAGCTGCTAGAGGTCATATACATTCCTTGGTCCATGTACCCCTTCCTTCATCTTCAAAACCAGCAACACTGCATCTCTAATTATTCTTCCATAATCACTTCTCCCTCTGATTCTACTCTCTCTCTCTTCTACTTTTAATGACTGTTGTGATCATATTTAACCTACCTAGATAATCCAGGAAAATTTTCATATACTACCATTACTCAACCTACTACAAGAAGTTCATTGTCATTTCAATGGGAAGGGATGCAGGGTTGGAAGAAAGTAGAGATGAGTTTACTTCAGGTTTCCACTGGGCTGATACACAGTTTTTCTCCTCTTTACTGATATAATGAATGATTAATTGAGATAGGTGCTTTTATAGCAGAGTCCTAATTTTTTTTTCCCTTTTGGGAGTTAATAGTACAACAATGATCTATTATACCTTTGTTTTGTATCTTTATTAAAATGCAATGTTTTCTAAATTTTAAGGCTATCTTAAATTTTAAAGTTATTCATTAATTCTGATACGTTAAATTTATTTTGAAAATATTTTGAATTCTAGTCACATTTTCTAAAGTGTTAAATTCTAAACCAGTACTACATTAATATAAAGCTTAATGGTAAGTTATATTCAGTAATACATATTTTTAGTGTTTCAAATACATAAAAAACCAGAATATATGCCTAATTCAAAATAACACTAAAGTATATAGAGTT